>NC_000004.12:108921381-109072896 GCF_000001405.40 Homo sapiens | reverse complement strand
AATGGGGTGGTGCGGAGCAGTATAAAGTTTTATGTGGGCCCCCTGTAGAGTTATGCAACTGATTTAACACATCTGGGCAAGGAATAGCTTGGCAGCTGTAGTGCTGATTGCGAAATTTATGATTGAGTAATAAGACATCTTGGTGAGAGTGGAGATGCATAGTGGTCATGGTGTTGTCATCTCAGAGCCTTCAAAAGGTTTCAGAAAGAAAACAGAAAACTTGCAGAAGGTTCTGCAAGCTAAGAATGTGGGTGAGTCTGTGTTACAGACCTTAGAAAGGACAGAAGTGGTGAAATCACTGTTAGCCACCAGATTTGGGGGACCCATATTGATTCTATAATTACAGGGAGAACAGAGTTCTAAAATCTGGGATCCCTGTGATATGACTGAGTTACATTTTACATGAGAAAGAAAACATCAATGATAATAGTAACCACAAGACCAAATTTCAAAATAACAGATTTCTCATTGTTTGACTCTCTCAAAACTCATCCATACAAAATACATAAACTGAGCTTATGAAAGAGGAAATGTAACTATTAAATAAAAAATGTTCAACCTAATTAGGAAGGAAGAAAACGTGAGTTAAATTAAGGTAACATCGTTCATCTGTTAACAGAAATTTGAAAATTAATGAAATTATCCAGTGGTGACATAGGTATGGAGACTCAAAGTATTATATATTTCAATACATAATAGTCATTATGAATTAGTATATATATTTTGGAAAGCAATTAGGCAGTATATGTCAATTTCCACAAAATGGATTTTCGACTCCTCTTAGCCCAGGAGTTGTATTTCTGAAACTTCATCCCAAGGAAACAATCCCTATTATGAAAAAAGAAAACAAAAACCCTATCTGCACGAAAATGTTCCTCATGTTAATAGTAGCCAAAATGTGTGCATGTGTCTTTATAGCAGCATGATTTATAATCCTTTGGGTATATACCCAGTAATGGGATGGCTGGGTCAAATGGTATTTCTAGTTCTAGATCCTTGAGGAATTGCCACACTGTCTTCCACGATGGTTGAACTAGTTTACAGTCCCACCAACAGTGTAAAAGTGTTCCTATTTCTCCACATCCTCACCAGCACCTGTTGTTTCCTGACTTTTTAATGATCGCCATTCTAACTGGTGTGAGATGGTATCTCATTGTGGTTTTGATTTGCATTTCTCTGATGGCCAGTGATGATGAGCATTTTTTCATGTGTCTTTTGGCTGCATAAATGTCTTCTTTTGAGAAGTGTCTGTTCATAACCTTTGCCCACTTTTTGATGGGGTTGTTTGTTTTTTTCTTGTAAATTTGTTTGAGTTCATTGTAGATTCTGAATATAAGCCCTTTGTCAGATGAGTAGACTGCAAAAATTTTCTCCCATTCTGTAGGTTGCCTGTTCACTCTGATGGTGGTTTCTTTTGCTGTGCAGAAGCTCTTGAGTTTAGTTAGATCCCATTTGTCAATTTTGGCTTTTGTTGCCATTGCTTTTGGTGTTTTAGACATGAAGTCCTTGCCCATGCCTATGTCCTGAATGGTATTGCCTAGGTTTTCTTCTAGGGTTTTTATGGTTTTAGGTCTAACATGTAAGTCTTTAATCCATCTTGAATTAATTTTTGTATAAGGTATAAGGAAGGGATCCAGTTTCAGCTTTCTCCATATGGCTAGCCAGTTTTCCCAGCACCATTTATTAAATAGGGAATCCTTTCCCCATTTCTTGTTTTTGTCAGGTTTGTCAAAGATCAGATGGTTGTAGATGTGTGGTATTATTTCTGAGGGCTCTGTTCTGTTCCATTGATCTATATCTCTGTTTTGGTACCAGTACCATGTTGTTTTGGTTACTGTAGCCTTGTGGTATAGTTTGAAGTCAGGTAGCGTGATGCCTCCAGCTTTATTCTTTTGGCTTAGGATTGTCTTGGCAATGCGGGCTCTTTTTCAAAGACTTGGAATCAACCCAAATGTCCATCAATGATAGGCTGGATTAAGAAAATGTGGCACATATACACCATGGAATACTATGCAGCCATAAAAAAGGATGAGCTCGTGTCCTTTGTTGGGACGTGGATGAAGCTGGAAACCATAATTCTCAGCAAACTATCGCAAGGACAAAAAACCAAACACCGCATGTTCTCACTCATAGTTGGGAATTGAACAATGAGAACACTTGGACATAGGAAGGGGAACATCACACACCGGGCCTGTTGTGGGGTGGGGGGAGGGGGGAGGGATAGCATTAGGAGTTATACCTAATGTAAATGACGAGTTAATGGGTGCAGCACACCAACATGGCACATGTATACATATGTAACAAACCTGCACGTTGTGCACATGTACCCTAGAACTTAAAGTATAATAAAAAAAGAAATAGTAGCCAAAATGTGTGGGCAACCAAAATGTTCAACAGTAAAATCAGGATCATGGATTTTGTAATTATTCTAAAATGAAACATCTACTTAACCAAATATGATTAAAGATCATGAATATGAAGATTGACATAACATGGAAAGGGCTTATGATGTGGGATTAAGTAAAAAAAAAAAAGATTAAAAAATGTTATGCACATGAAATAAACTTATCAAATACATGCTCATAAAAGTACACTGGTGCCAAACAATAGTTGTGTCAGCAAAGTGAGAGGGTTTTTTTTTTGTTTTTTGAGACAGAGTCTCGCTCTGTCTCCCAGGCTGGAATGATCTCGACTCTCTGCAGCCTCCAACTCTTGGGTTCATGCCATTCTCCTGCCTCAGCCTCCCGAGTAGCCGGGACTAGAGGCATACACCCCATGCCCGGCTAGTTTTTTTTTATATTTTTAGTAGAGACGGGGTTTCACCTTGTTGGCCAGGCTGGTTCCGATCTCCTGACCTTGTGATCTGCCCACCTTGGCCTCCCAAAGTGCTGGGATTACAGGTGAGAGGGTTTAAAAAAAAAAAAAAAATTATTGCTCTTCTTAATTTTTGAAATTTCCTATTATATAGTTATCTTGCTTTTATTTTCAAAAATTGTATATTTTAATATTTAGCTATTTAAGGTAAGTAGCATATGCTTATTTCATATATGAATAAAGAAAGTGAGTTTTCAAATGTTTAGAAGCCAGCAGCTTCCACATTTCCTGGACAATTCCAGTTCTCATGATTTTCTCCAGGAAAAGAAAATAGCGCCATAGAGGGATATGAAGATTTCATTTACAGAGAGCCCAGAAAGTGTTCTTGTCTTGGCTTGCACTGCACGTCCCAATTCTTTATTGTTCCACCTTCCTTTTAGATGTAGTCACAAATGTTTGCCATTCAGCTTTTGACTTCAGCATACTTACACTGCTGGGACTGGCTTAAATGATCATGGTCCCTGATGTTCTACATTGAAGTAGTAGTTAAAAGTTGACGTGAAATTCCACGTACTTTAAAACTCATTAGGGGCTGGACATGGTGGCTCTCACCCAGCACTTTGAGAGGACTGCTTGAGGCCACGAGTTTGAGACCAGCCTGGGCAGCATAGCAAGACACCTTGTCTACTAAAAATAAAAATAAATCAGCTGGCTGTGGTGGTGCATGCCTGCTGTCCCAACTACTGGGGAGGCTCAGGTGAGAGAATTGATTGAGCCAGGGAGGTCGAGGCTGCAGTGAGCCATGATCATGCCACTGTACTCCAGCTTGGGTGACAGAATGAGATCCTGTCTCTTAAAAAAAAAAAAAGAAAACTAATTAGGTATTGTTAATTTTAAATTGCCTTTTTTTTGGCAAGTCTGCAAGAGTTTTCTGCTCAGCCAAAAAAAAATTTTTAAAGTTTAAAATATTTAAATATTAAATATTTTAAAAATATTTGAATTTTATAGAGTGGTTAAATTATAAAGTGAAGAAATTCATATTTCTTGAGGGCTTAATATGTGTCATAGCCTGTGCTATTCATATCTCACCTCATTCTTCATCATAATTATTTCCTCTTATAGGACCTGACTATGTCTTTCATAGGACTAATCTCAGTATGTAAATATGTGACATATTTCTTGTTTTCCTTGTCTCCTGTCTCCTCTGTTTGTATGTAAGCTCCATTGTAAAGGCTCTGTGCATCTTTTCTCTGTTTTAACTGTACCACCGAACCCAGAGCCAGGCCATAGTAAGGTCTCTAATTATTTTTGAATAAGTAAATACTTCGTGAGGTCATATTTAGTATTTCCATTTTATACATGAGGAAACTGAGAGTCACACAGTTGCCACATTTAGAAAATCACATATTTAGTGGTGATAGAATTATAATCCAGGCTTATAAGCACCAGAACATATTATCTTTTCATTTGGCCATGCTGCTGGTTTTATGTTTTAAACTACTATATAGGATTATCAGATTCATTATAGGAGATTTAGAAGTAAACTTCCTTTGACAAACTGACAATTTTTAAAATCCTGAGTTTGTTTGCTTTCCCTCCGATTTTGCTCTCTCTCTTCTCTCCTTTTCCCTACCTCCCTCCTCTTCCCTGCTTCCCTCCCTCCCTTCCTTTCCTCTTTCCTTCCTTCCTCTCTCCCTCCCTTTCAGTCTGGCTGTCAAAAATGGTAAATCTGTTGCATGTGCACCAGGTCCTTAGACTAAATATCCTGCTTACTCATTACTCATGTTTCTTTTTTGCTTTTATCTTTTCATTCAACTGTAATAATCCAATGTTGTGTTGAGTTTGGGGAGCCTTTAATATGTCATTAGGAAGACTTTGATAAAAGAAAAGGGCAGATGTCCCACCTGTGAAAAAGCAATAATACAGGAGATTAGTTTCCCAAGTCCAGCATGGTGCTTACTGCACTGGCCAGCTTCCAAGCTACTGAAGATATGCACAGCTGGCCTTGGAGGAGCCACCGAAAGCAATGGCACGCACCCCAGTAGACTTCTGGTTATTGTGTAATGAGAACTGAACTTGATTTTCGATTATTGTTGCATCTTTGACATTCCTTTGGTGAATCAGGCCACATGATACCCAGTATGGATTACCCAATGAAGTCACTATCTCATTGACTTTGGTTCTGAGATCTGACCCTCATGATTTCCCAACACATACTTTAACTGTGTTGAATTCTATTGGGAAAACTGTTCATTTCTCTAATCCCTTTTCTTCCATCTTTTCCTCCTGTTCCATTTTGCTTCTTTTCCTCCTTAAATCATTACCATAGTCTTGGCCTCAAAAAAATCAGCATAAGCCAAAGGCAGTCTCTTGAGGGAGATATTACTTTCATGTGTGGCCTAAACTTAGTACATAAACTACTCCCTGGAAAAGAAAACAAAAACTGTTCACCAGGAGATGGAGAATATATTCTTCTGTAAAGAAATTTTTCCACTGTGCTTCCTGATATCCTAAATGTTCCCCAACACGATGAAACAAAATTTAGGTTCCTGTCTGGCACCAAAATATTGTCCAATGGAAATATTTTTAAAAACACTCTGTGACTGTAATTTTTAAATGCAGTGAAGACAAAAATATTTTCAATTTTTTTTTTCCTTAGACATCAAAGAGTTTCACTGTGTTTAGATTAAAAGTGCTGGGGTAGGGGACCCCGGTGCTCAATGGAGTCTCAGCCATTATATACATTCAAAAAGTATGGGTATTTGAAGAATATAAGTTATTGAGATTATTTCTATAGTGAGTCAGATGAAAGGGTTTTTTCTTAATGTTGATATTTTTATATCCATAGGATGTTCTCTTATAAAGCTTATTATGCTTCCAGAGGACAGTGGCAGGTGTAAGACACGAAGCACAACTAACTCAAAAGAGTTCCCTCTTGGGACCGTTAGTTCACCATTGCTATCTTCCTATGTGAAAGCCAAAAAAAACCTTGAAGGCCACATGTGTCTATATGAAAATCCTTATAAGAAGTTGCAAATATTGTGTAAGAATGAGAATAATTTTATCTGAAAATATTATATTATCAAAGTGACATGGTGAAATTTGATTTTGGGGCTGGGTGTAGTGGCTCACACCTGTAATCTCAGCATTTTGGGAGGCTGAGTTGGGAGGATTGCCTGAGGCAGGATCACTAGAGACTAGCCTGGGCAACATAGTGAGACCCCATCTCTACTAAAAGATAGCAATAAAAAAATTAGCCAGGTGTGGTGTCATGCACCTGTAGTCCTAGCTACATGGGAGAGTGAGGCAGGAGGATCCCTTGAACCCAGGATTTTGAGGCTGCAGTGAGCTATGATCATGCCATGGCACTCCAGCCTGGGAGTGCTGGAGACAGAGCAAGATCCTGTCTCAAAAAAAGGAAGAAAGGAATTTGATTATTTTGGAGTTCGTTCATCCATAGGTTCACCAAGTATCTATTTATAATCTACCATTCTCCTAGGCACTAGAGTTCAAAGATGAATTAGATTGGTTCTCTGTTTTTAAGTGCTTGAGAATAGTAGATGAATGCTGACTTACAAAGAAATAACTGCAATACAACATGATATGTGCTGTAATGATGATGGAGATAGGCAGGGTAGTATTCAAAGTATTAATCAAATTGCCTTTCAGCAAATCATAGTGGATGCCAGTCTCAATGCTGGAACAGAGTTTGGGAGACCTCCTGATGGGCCAGGTGTTTTCTTCCTTGAGTACCCATTTTGTGTGGCATTTCAGGGGCTCTGGGGAAGGGACTAAGATGGTCAGGTATTAGAAAAAGAGGCACTTGGGGTGAGTGGTGCTTCTAAAACTGACCAACAACCAGTGTGGTAGTGCTGATGTGTACCAGCTGCAAATCAGCTCTGGATTTAGGGTAATCATTTCATTCATTTAAATATGAATGTCCAGATATTTCCATCACTATTATTCTAGATTGCAGTCTATTTTAGCTTCACTGAGTACATTTCTGCAGCTGTCACTAAGCTTTGCTTCAAATGATGTATGCACCACCCCAGGGCAGGTGGGGCATGTAAAGAAGACTTTGATGGGGCTCTGCTCAGCTCCAGGTTATGGATTTAAATGACCGATAGCATGTGTGGGTTCACCAAAGGCATTACTACTACAAAAGGGTAGTTATGTGCTACCTTTAATCTGACCATATTGCATTTCATCATTGGTTGCTGCAGTGAAATAAAAAACCTTGCCATACAGTGAATACTTTAATCTGTCATCACAAGGAAGGTCTTGTCAATTGTGGCTCAAAATCTAGGACTAATGACCAGAGATAGTCATTAGACTGGCATAGTCTTTAAATAAAAATAGAGTTGTTCAATAGGTTCTCTTTGCAAGACTTCCTCTAAATTAATATTAGATATTTTTGGTTGTTTCATCCAATGGAATAAAAGTAAGGGATAGTATTAAGGGAGAAAAAATTTATTTCTTAAACACACGTGCATGCACCTGCACACACACACACACACACACACACACACACACACACGCGCGCGCGCGCGTGCTGCACCAAAAAGGTATTTGCAAGCCATTTGGTGTTGCTTGGATTACTACATCAACATTTTCTAGTGCAATAAATACAACATGTTTCTGTCAGGTAACTATAGAAAACAGTTCCCTACATTCTTCTGGAATGTAGAACTGATCTGGCCAGATTATAATTGACATGGCTGGACAAGGACTGGCTATTGATTTATCACAACTTGTGATGCAACTGAATGGGAGTGTTCCTACTTCTAAACAGTCCTCCCTCTCCCTCACAAGAAAGACGGAGTGTGTAGCCAGATCAAACAACTGTGCTTCATGATTGCGTGTACTTGGGCAGAATGATTAGGACTCCAGAGGGATTTGTGTGCCTGCATCATGCCCTGAGCACTTCCCCTCCTCAATCCCTTTGGAATTTCTCAGCTGTAGCCATCAGTCCAGTCCGAGGGGCTAGATGAGCCCAAAAGGAGCAGAGCACATTGCTCTCATTCATTATGACTCCCGAGTTCTTGTCACAGTTCTGGAAAGCCAATAAGAATTCTGTGGGCTGACTGCCCTCCTTACTGGTGCATTGGATACACCATGTTCTACTTCTACCCTGTACCTCCTCAAGGAGGTGCTTCCTGTGATCCTCACATAATGATCTGCATGTCTGTTGGATGTGAAATCAATTGACTTGGCTGGCTTTCTTGTATTTACTTTGATGGACCTAGGGTTAGGGCTTTTGTAGGTACTAGAGACCAGATGTGGTCATTTAGTTAGAAAGAAAAAATGATTTTCTTTTGCTTCTCATGGAATCATATTGTTGGAAGGAAACATGGAGCTCCAGTACAGTCCTTTCATGTTATAGATAAGAAGTCTAATATTCTGTAGAACTTAATGACAATGCATGGGAGGTCTCTGGCTCTCTAGTCACTGTTCCTGCTGTCTTCTTAGTTCAGGAATGATTCAAATCAATATTCAACTGATGAAAATTCTGAATTAAATCACTGTATTTGAGTGAAAATATTGGAATGGATTTCACAGATTTTAAGGGAATCGATAGAAAGATACAAACAACCTTAGTAGGTTTGGCCTCCATTTGATGATTTGTTGGTAAGGATTCTGTAATATTAACATCAACTTATTATCCATTTACTTGTAGAACTTTGTAATTATGTCTACAAAACTAAACTTGCATACTATGGATGCCCAAATACAAGAACAAATGTTTTCCAAGTTTTGGGACAAATCTTCAATTGTAAAGGTCTGTGCATATCGTGTTAAAAGAAGAAAGGCAGACTCCACAGAGGATCTAATTCATATAAATATGCCAATATTCTGAAACTGTTTCCAAGGTCCAAGGTTGACATCTGACTATCACGTTAATGGCAGAGGGATCTTTTGTTTAATCTATCCAATATATGTAAATAGTACCACCGATTTTCTATTCTATAAGGCTCAAATCCTTGGTGACCGTCTTTGACTTTCAACCTGTTGTATTCACCTCCTAAATCCAATTAAGCCTCCAACTTTGACTCTGTTTGTCAAGTATTACTTTCGGTATCTATTTTTTGTCCCCATTTGTCACTAGTCCCTTTATCACTGTGCCTTAGGTTCCGTAAGAGACTCATAATTGGCTTCCCTAATTCCTGCCAGGTTAGTCCTCACAAAACACCACTTTCTTCATGCCATTATCTTACTACTCTATCTATATTTGATTCCTGTTACTTATTGGAGAATTTCTTAACTTTTTCTCCTGCCATTTGAGGACTTTAATAATCTGGACGGGGCTTACTTATCCAGTCTTATTTCAAACAAAAATTCCGGTGAATGTAGTCTCATGGTAAGCTGCAGTGCATGTGGCTAGCTGTGTTTATGCTGTATTATTATTATTAGAGACAAGGTCCCACTGTTTTGCCCAGGCTGGTCTTGAACTGGGTTGCAGTGATCCTCCTGCCTCTGCTTCCCAAGGTGCTGGGATTGCAGATGTGAACCACTGCACTGGGGCTGTACCTCATTTTTTTATCCTTCCTTACCCTCTTTTATCCACTTTTTTTTTTTTTTTGAGTTGGAGTCTTGCTCTGTTGCCCAGGCTGGAGTGCAGTGGTGTGATCTTGGCTTACTGCAACTTCTGCCTTCCGGGTTCAAGCGATTCTCCTGCCTCAGCCTCCTGAGTAGCTGAGATTACAGGCACGTGCTACCAAGCCCAGCTAATTTTTGTATTTTTAGTAGAGACGGGGTTTTATCATGTTGGTCAGGCTGGTCTCAAACTCCTGACCTCAGGTGATCCACATGCCTTGGCCTCCCAAAGTGCTGGGATTATAGGCATGAGCACCCAGCCTTTTATTGACTTTTTAAAGTTAAGTTAAAATTTCACTTTTCTGACAACCTTTTCTCAACACTTTTCTCTGAGCAACTGTGGCATAATCAGTGCCATTTGCAGTGTAACACTGTATTATGTATTGGCTAACATTGTTCTTTATTTTTATTTTGTTTTTGTTTTAGGCCTTGCATCTCTCACAAATTCATGAGGCCTTTTCAGAAGGAAACCAAACATACACATAAAGTGTTGATGGCATAGGCACTCATGGCTATTCTTTGACTTAAAATATTTTAATAGTCAAGAACTGTTTTAGTTATGTCCATTTTTATCTCAGCATAAAATATTCAGAGAACAATCAAATTCAATCAGGTGTCTTGGGGATTTATGTTATTTATAGTAATCCATTTTCATGTTCTGTATTAACAACTAACTTCAAAGCTTACCAGTAGAATTTAAGAATTTCTTAATAATGATTGTCTAATGAGGAGGCTGAATATGAGGAATGATTAAACCTGATTAAGTCATATTCATAAATATGCATGTGGATGGAATATAGGTTGTACCAAAGTGGATTAAGATCCTAATTTCCTCATTTTTGTTCTTAAATATGGATATGAGAATCACTATTAATGAAAATGTATTCTATTGAATATATTTTACACAAAGCTTTGTGTACAGAATTTATTTTACTTATACAACTGTCTTATTCAATACATCTTTTGTGTCATTTTACTAAGGAGCATAAAATAGACTTCATAGAATCCATTCTATTTCTGATTATTACAATTCTTCTATATTTACTACAGTTAATTTTTTCCTTGAAGGTTTTCCCTCTGTTGTTACTTGATATCATAATAAAATGCCATATTTTAAAACCATCCTATTTTATGAAAAGCCCTTATGATAGTTAAGTTGCAAAATAAAATAACTCAAATTCTACTTTGAAATTACCTTCTCCCTCATAACTTAAAGATGTAACCCTTGAACTTTCACCTCTGATAGTTAGCTCCAGAGCTCTTGGTCTACTTGATCAAGGACCTTTCATAAGTCCTTTAAGTTGATTGGCACTTGTAGTTAGGCCTCTGACACTCGTCCAAACTTCAGCATGCTTTGAAGCTTCCCATCTTCATTAGTACGAAAGATGCCAGATGGAAAGCCAATAAAATTTTGGTGTATGTTTTCTTTATTACTTAAGGGCAAAAGAGTGTGTGTATATCAAGGCTTTTGATAATTTTAAAAATTCTGTGTTAGTTCCTATGCAACATAGAAAAGAAACTCAACCTCAGAAGTTAAAATCATGTCTTGGATTGGCCCGTCTGTAGTTTCATTGGAAAATGCTTACTTGCTGTGTGATAGATATAGCAGCAGTAAAGTGCTAGAATTATTATGAAATCATATGGGGAAACATTTTATTCATAGAAATCTACTCATGATGTTTTTGTATTCTAGGGAATTTGCCTGTCAGTATGAATCTGAGATTTAACTGTAAGGAAATAACTGTGTTTATTCTGAAGGAGGCAATGAAACTCAGTTGGGGAGGCTAGGCGATTGCAAGTGTCTTTTTAAATGGCCAAATGGGATTTGATTTTCTGGTGAAGATCACCTATGTTAGCATTTTCTATGGGAGGCCAACTGTAATCCTAACCTACACTGCATTGTGTTCTCAGTTAGTTTAGCAAGATAATTTGGCATTTTGTAGAGCACTTTTTATATGCATGACATTTCCAAATACATCATAGCACTGAGCAAATTAATTCCTTAAATAGACAAAATAGCAGCTCCTCCTTAAACTATAGTTTGAAGTATGAAATCTATTCCTATTCCTATTTAGGCAACTGGAGTAAAGTTTTAAGAATTTTGTACTTTTACTTAACAACTCTATTAAAATTGAACTGTGTTAACCTGGTAGTGATAGTGAAGAAGGCAGAATTTCTATCACAACAAGAATCAATTCATGGGTATGTTGGAAAAAATACTAGAGGAGAAAAATGAGCCAAATACATGGCAAAGGAGAAAGGATTGTCACTCCTCTATTATGTCTTCTAGAAATTAGATTTAAGTAAGGAGAGCACAAGAGTGATGAAAGACCAAGGATTAGGCAAAAGTGACTCTTTTAGGTAGTATGGAGACTTAGGGTTGGATTTGTTAGATAGGAGAAAACCTTGTGTGTTGGACCAATGTGTAAGTACTTCCTCACTTATGTAGCATGAAAGCTTATTGATCTGGAGAATTGCATGATGAAAATAGGTTAAAATGATTAACCTAGTAGTTTATGCAGATGGATTTGAGAGAGACCAGTAAGCATTTAGAGTTGAAAAGTATGGACCCAAACTATAGCATCAGCATTGGGATTGAAAACAAAGGGACAGTCAAGAGTTGTTTCAAGAAAAAATACTGATGAAACACTAAATTTCACAAGAATGTGAGGGAAGGACTAAAAAATTGCCTTGATATTTTAAGCTCGGGCGAATGAAAAATTGTGTCATGACAGCCCAAATTCTGAAAGCCATGAACTCATTTTGCCAAGAAGGTAATGTTTTTTTGTTTTTTTTTTTTTGAAAATTGAGTCTGAGTTGGTACTGAGCACCCAACGTGTGGAAGGTACCATCTGCGAAGGACTTCCTAGACAAATGAGAGACATTCAGAGATGTGAAAAGTCACTACAATTGGTAACATCTAAAGAATGTTTACTCTGTGCCAGACATGTATGTAAATAGACCAACTGCTAACATGTTCACAAAAATGAAACAGATGCTATGATTTACCTCATCTGCCAGGGTCCATGTCCATTATCATTACGCTATGTGATACTGTTAGGGTCTGACATAGCAAGAGGGCAATGAGGTGGGGGTCAAGGGGGCCATGGAAGAATTGTAAGAAGAGACAGGTCGCTTTGGGAAGCTTGTGAGGGCTGGACTGTAGGCTGAAAAGGATTAGAGGTTGCTCTTTCTTCCCAGATTATCTAATTCATCAAAGTCCCCTAACTAAATATCTCCTAAGTAGCACTTGCCTTTACTGGCACAGATGCTGTGTCTTCACAGCTGCCACGTGCTCAGTACCTCACAGGTAAAATATCTCACTTGACACTTAGAACAAGTCTGAGATGGATATTATCTACATTATAAACGTTCTGAAGCCCTTTATTTAAAGATGAAAACAAGGGTTTCTGAGAGGTTAGTTTGTAGATGAAGACAAGGGTTCTAAGAGGTTAATTTGTCCAAAGTCATGTAGCTAATTTGTTGAAGAGACAGGTTCAAACATAGGTCCTTATGGCTGATTTCAAAAGTTGTACTCTGCCATTTGTTTTGTTTTGTTTTGTTTTTAACTGGCAGAAATACTACAGAAGTGTTACTGTTATTTCAGCCTTTAAAAAAAAAGGTCATCCATTTAACATTTAACTATGTGCCAAGTACTGCGAATACAATAATGAAGAAGACAGGCAATATCCCTCCTTTCTAAAAGATCAATATTTTTCTTATTTCTGTCACTTCAAATACTTATATATAACAGCATGGGTAAAAACTGCTGTGCATGGTATAAGAGCATATTAACTGAGCTTAAACATAAATATGTGTTAATCACATCCCCTTAGACGAGCCATGAGTGTTCTCAGTGTATGAAGAGAGAACAGTGTCTTTTTAACTTTGTAAAATAGAACTTTATTAGCTGTTGGCCAGTGATTTCTTATGATTATTTTTCCTTTAAAATGAAAAGCTAAAAATAAGCCTATAAACAAAGATTTTAAATAAAGGGCTTCAGAAATACTCATGAACATGTTTTTTCTAAGTTGACTTAAATCTCCTATTTTCCTTCAGGCAGTTGTGTGTTTTTGTGTCAGAAAATACACTGACCTATAGTGTGTTTAATAAGTGACCAAATTGTTAGTTTCAGCATTTGTAATCCAAGAGTCAGGCTGTCTGGATATACATCCCTAACCCACCATTTACTACCTATGTGCTGTTGAGCAAATCTTTTAACCTGTCTATATCATCACTTTCCAAAATTGTATTGAGATCACACAACTAGGAAAAATAAGTGAGACCAAGCATGTACAGTGCTTAGCCCAGTGCAAGGTGCGTGATGGCACTCATAAATATTAGTCATCATCATTGTCCCTTGTATTATTTCCTAGTATTTTGTGCTTTTCCCCCACATGATACAGGGGCTCATTAGGTTCTCTGGCTTCCACAAACAGATCTTACTCTATCATTCCTGCACTAATTGTTTTAGTATGCCTGTGCCTTCGTGCTTATTTCACTGGGTCCAGACTTCTGCGTTACCCTCTCTCTCTGAACTACTCCTACTCTTACTCGAATGACTTCGTCTTGCCTTTCTGTTTATTCATTTTCCATCACTCATTTTCAGTGTTAAACCAGTTCTGTATTATTATTCTATGAGTATTTTTACTACTGGGTGGAAATTTTGGCATCATGCTAAATGATTAATTTAGCACCCGCTTAAATATCTGGGCCATTTGCATATGTGTAATGGTGTATGTGGTGCTGCTGTGTTTAATTCATCCATCGGCAATTTGGCAAAAGCTTGTGGTGTCACAAAGCCATTAATAAAAACAAATCCTAGTTTCTATTAGCCCACTTTTTAAATTTTCCATGAAGATTATTTCAATCTCTGATAAATAAGAATTAACATAATTTTATTTATTGAATATTTGAAAAACTATATTCAACTTTTGATCTTATTTTTTTTCTGTTAGTTTAACATTTTTATCTTTAAAAGAGGTGTCTACCACTCTCAGTTCCATTAGAAACATATAATCTGCAAAGCTAATTTAAAATATTTTTCTGCAAGCTTGGAAACTGTTTTTCATGTTAATATATTACGTTGTATAGATAATGGCCACTCTTGTTACATAGCATGTAATCTCACAAAGAATCATATCTTTCCTATTTCCCAACCCCTACTCTCTGACATCTTGCAGCCCCCTTCCCCACAAGTAGAAATAAAAAAAGCTGTCATGATAAATCCCCTGTAGGATCCTGGGGTAAAACATTCTAGTACCATAATAATGAAACACTTTATGTGTGGGAAAAGAATGATAGAAATAACAACTGTGCCACATCAGACCTCATTAAAGTCAATGAACTGCAACATCAGGCTATTTGTAGTCTTGAACAGTTTCTATGGAATATTCTACTATATTTATTATCTAGATATTAAAAACAGCAACAAAGATAACCCCTCATTTTCTGGAATTCCATTTCTGGAAACAAAGCATCTATATAAAGCCCAGAAAACGTTGCACTCAGTTCGGAAATCCATTTCTTTTATTGTTCAAGTGCAGTAGTATTTTCCAGTATGTCCTTGTGAGAGTCTCCAGTTATCTCATGAATGTGATCAGTTTTTTTCTACTTATAAAATTAATAAATAGCAACTAATTATCAGTTAAACTTGACATGCTTCATTTAAACCTGGCACCAGAAAGAACTAAACTTACACTGCGATAACTGGGAAGAAGTTTTAGAAGGTAATTTTGGTTTATTGACCTCTCTCCACAGGAGTAGAAACTCAACCAGTTTAAAAATAACTCTAATGATCACATAATGTTGAGAATTAGATTTACCACAGTTCTGATGTAATTAATTTGTATTTACTTAAAACATCTTAATGGCAATTGTTAAAATTTTCACTTTATTTCAAATTGAGGCCAGGCACAGTGGCTCATGCCTATAATCCCAGCACTTTGGGAGGCAAAGGCCGGCAGGTCACCTGAAGTCAGGAGTTTGAGACCAGCCTGGCCAACATGACAAAACCCCATCTCTACTAAAAATGCAAAAAAAAAAAAAAAAAAAAAAAAAAAAAAAATTAGCTAGGCATGGTGGTCCCAGCTACTCGTGAGGCTAAGGTAGGAGAATCGCTTGGACTCAGGAGGTGAAGGTTGCAGTGAGCTGAGATCACACCACTGCTCTCCAGCCTGGGTGACAGAGTAAGACTCTGTCCCAATAAGTAAATAAATAAAATTGAAAAAATTACAGAAACAAATAAGAGTCCTGCTCTCAGTGCATTTCATGAGAAAGATAACATGCTTTGCCAGGAGGGCATACCTTGCTGCTTAATAACTCTCCTAGGCCAGGGACGATGGCTCACACCTTTAATTCTGACTCTTTGGGAGTCCAAGGCAGGAGGATTGCTTAAGGCCAGGAGTTTGAGACCAGCCTGGGCAACACAGTGAGACCTTGTCTCTACAAAAAATAAAAAACTTAGCTGGTTGTGGTGGTATGTGCCTGTAGCCCAAGCTGTTCAGGAGATTGAGATGGGAGGATCGCTTGAGCCCAGAAGTTTGAGGTTACAGTGAGCTATTATCACCACTGCACTCTAAATAGCGATGTTCGACACCACTTACACTGTCATCAGCCTCGGTGACATAGTAAGACTGTGTCAGACAAAAAACTATCCTAATGAGAAGTATATTCTGGAATAACCAGCCCATTTTCTTCTAAAGCACTGGCTACTACACCAAGGAACATTACATTTTGCATTTAAACCAGTACACACATACATATCCTCTCAGTTGGCTTTAGGTGGTCTAATGTATATACTGATAATGCACCCACGTTTATTAGCCACTTGAAGACAGTTTTTTTTTTTAATCTTTTTGTACCTTCCATGGGCTTTATTGTGTTTTATGTTCATTCAGTGAACATAGTTTCTGCATATTCTTTATGTTTTATAAATTTTATGTGGAATTAGCATAAATCCCTTGGTATAAAAGCTTGAAAATAAGCATATTTGTGAAAGGACTATTCATAAAATTAAATATTTCATATTTTTATTTGATCTAAAAAATATCCTCTAGGAATTTCACAAAACAAATCTAATTACTGACTTTAGGGGAACAGTATATTGTAAATATTCATAACTTTATTAAAATTATGTTGCTCTGATTAGGTTATAAAAATAAAAATTTGGCAACTTAATTTTTGTTGTTTGTAACTAAAATACAGTAAAAATCTTACTAGCAAACAATTTAAATACATGTATTAGTTAAATAATGTGTAAGAAAATAGTCCCTCACACATTTGTTAGTATATCTTTTCTATTGTTAAAAATAAGGGAGAAAGACTTTTCCAAATTTCAGTTGAACTCATTATCTTTAAAATGATTACTGTATATCTGAATAATACTCTGTAGTGAGAGTTATGGAACTTGGCTATTGTAAGCTGAAATTATTTCCTATTATTTATTATGATTAACTTTCGTTTATAAACTGACATTCCACAGAGATTAAAACTTGAGGAAATTTGAAACAAAAATAAACACATAAAAGATATTTAAAACAAACAACCCTGTGTTATGTATAGTGGAGTACATGCTGATTGAGAAAATCTTGAGAAATAAATCTGAATAAAAAAAGTCATTTCTTCTAAAAAATTAATGTATTAGGTTGGTGCAAAAGTAATTGTGATTTTTGCCATAATAGTATGAAATAATGTTGGTGTGCATCAAATAGCTCATAGACAGTGCCCCTTTAAAGTTTTCCGAGTGGTCAGCCTCATGCCTGCTGCTGGAGATACAAGGATGAACAAGAGAATTTCTCCCTTCATGAGCTTACAGTCTAGTGGAAGGCTGTCACAAAGATTAATAATACATCTGTCTAAGTAGCGATGTTCGAAAAATACAAGGTGGGTCATTGATAAAATAAAGTACTTTGGAAAGTTCGCACTGGTTGTGGCTGGTTGTGTCTGTGGAATGTGAATTCAAAACTGACAGGCAGTGCATTGAGCCACAGAACTCTCGGTTTGGAATCAGGAAGCTGGGATCTGCTGTGTGGGACTGTGGGCAGGTTGTTTCGCCTCTGTTGGGCTCAGTTTTACATTTGCAGAAACGTGAATCATTTATAAACTTGTTTTAGTCATGGAGGTTTTACTTAAAATGGTTGCAATTCAGTATGGCAATCTGGAGCTGCTCTGATGGTCCAGGTTCTGAGCAGAGCATGAAAACCTTTGGCTCTTATGACCTCATGGGTCTGTTGTAGTACAGACATTTTATGAGTATGGAGAGAATAAATTTTATTTAGTGTTCTACTTCTACCAGGCATTGCCATTTAAGCCTTTTACTTCTAATTGTGGAATGAAACGCTTTGGTCCATCTTGAAGGAATTTCAGGCATTAAGCAAGCAAACAGGTGGGAGGACTTTGGGGAGAGCTCTGAAATTAATCTGTGCCTGCTTGTAAGGTTAATCCAGAAGACCTGAAGGTAAACCTGGTTTAGTCTCTGAATGTAGCTGGAGGATGGGGGAGGTTGGTTCAGAAAGGATGATCCGCTGTCTCCCTGTGCCCAGACAGGTTCCTCCCTCCCAAGAGCCAGCTGCAGCTGTTGGCGACCTGTTCAGGGATTGTTTGGGGTGGAGGAGCGTCTTGGGTTTGCACACATTTGTCCTCCAGACTTCCCTACCCCAGTGTGCGTCCATCAAGAGGGCTGCTCCATCTGCAAACAGCTTCGTCCTCACTCTGTCCCTCCCAGACCACAAGTTCGGTTTTCTGCCCTTTACTTTGCTGTGACGTCTCCATTTTCTGCCTCCAAAACTCTGAATAAGAGTATTTTTTGGAATATTTTCTACTGTTTGAGGTATTTTATGATTTTTCTTATCTAATGTACTTAAAGTTCCCTATGCTTCTGGGGATGAAACTTCTAAGTTTCAGCTTTTTATTAGAATGTGTCAAAATCTTACTATTTTAGAATTCTTACTATGTTTAAAAAGCTTACTATTCTTATTGATGAATATGACAGTAATATAGCACGGAAATGGTTTATAAGCTTCAACACATGAATGAAAAATGAAGGAAACACTTGTTTAGTATAATGTAATAGCACTTTACAGTTTCATCCTCACAATAATCATACAAATGGGGCGGAGTGAGTATTATTTACCAGATAGCAGATTAAAATCAAAGAGATTAGTTGAAAGTCAGCTCAATTCACACAGTAGTGAAAAATCCATAGGTTTTTAACTCTGTGTTCCATGTTGTCTTTAGTATATTAAATTGCCTCCTTGAATAGTGTAATTATAAGGTGATATTAATCTCTTGCAATCTTGTTCACATATAGTCAACTTTTATCAAATTCTCAAATAGAATCACAATGGACTAAAAAGAAAATATAAAGAAAGTAAAAGTGGGAGCTAATGTTTATTGAACACCTAGTGTGTGTCTGTATATTCATTAATTACCTCCTCCATTCAGTCAGGAATTTATTATCTAATGACCTGTGTCAGTGGTGACCATTAAGCCATTCTCGTAATGAGATAGCCACCTTCTCCCTATTCTCGGGTATTTATGACAACGCACCTAAGCACAATCACCCAGGGCGTGAGCCATCCCTTTGCTTTTTATCCACATGATACCTGCTCTCCAAAAGCAGACCCAGCCAGAAATTTGTGTTGAAATAGAAAACAAGAGGTCAAAACAAAACACCCAGCCAATGATGAATTCTGAAACTTTTCTCTAAATGCTTCCTGTGTGTTTATTGCAAACGTTTATAAAAGGTAAAAATATTTTCAAAGACAAATAACATCCTTGTGAAAAAAATCTCTTCTTGGAGTATCAAGAAAGATTACGTTTAAACTCAACCTTGAAATATTATACTCTTAGGAGTGGAGAAGAGTGAACAGATCTAAGTACTAGGGGTAGAATTGACGGGTTTTGGTAATTCACCTGATGAGCCAGGGAAGGGTATTCCAGCTACTTCCAATAACCACCCACCCTCACGATCATGTGAGGGCCCATGGAGTGGCATATGTTTCCTTCTAGGTACATTTCTAAATTTAGAGAAGAGCCTTTTCAAGTGGATACATCATTAGTGAGGAATAGAGCGTTCAAACAATATTAGTCATGGGCCAAAAGAACTGGCGTGGTTTAGGAGGCTTGCCTTTGTTATTTGATGAACGGGGTCTGTCTGGAGTTGGGTTTATAGTCACTGGTTTTTAAATAATTACCATGATGGCAAATTTTTACTAATTCTATCTCAGGCTGACAGCTTGCATCTATTTTTGAAAGTTAGCAAGAACTCTTTCTGAAGCATGAATAGTACCAATTGTCCTGAATTTTCTAATCCTGAAGAGCAATCTGGTTTTGTCGTCTCTCTCTGTTTTCTGTAATTCATTCTTCATTGAATGAATTTTCTGCTTGTAAGTTTTCACTTCCTCTGTTGCTGATAGCTTCTGTTTTTTCTCTTCCCATTCATTTTCTTGAACCAGTTTCTTTTGCAGAGTCATGTTTTTCTGCTGATAGAATTTACTGAGAATTTCTGTTGTAAAGATCTGGCCAAGTTTAGTGAATGAGAGCCATGTTCCAGCTTCTGTATGTGTTCATACAGCTCATGCCTGGCTGACAATTCATCACTCACTTTGGAATGAAAATGGCCACTATCTTTTGTGACAATTGTTAACATCAGTTTTGTCTGATTTTTCTTTTCTGATTTTCTATCTTCTCACTCTGTTCTGCCAGCTATCCATTGCCAAATTCATCTCATCCATTTCATTTTTATTATTCTTTTTGTCTTTAAATTCAGAAGCAAGATCAAATTATCTTATCTGCACAGTAGACTTCTTCAAACATCAAATTATTCTCTTAGAAGCAAGATCTTTACCTAGGCTTTTCTGAGAGTTTTGTATAATTTATTAGTTCAGCAAGGTCAGTATAATGCTCCCTGCAGTTTTCTGATTCCAATAATAATTATAACCTGCTTTTCTTAAATCCAATATTTTCTTTGTAAATTCATTAGAGTTTAGATTCCATCTTCTCATAACTTAGTTTAAATTCATTTTCTCTGTCAAATATTATGACATGCTTTGTAAAACCCTACCATATTCAATAGATGTCTGTCTTGCCAAGTGCTGTTTGAGTTTGCTTGCATCCTGTTCTTCAATTCTCAGTATGACAAGCAGATTTTCCACAGCATTTGATTCATTTCTTTAAACCTTCTGATTGAATATTTAATCCAGATATGTTCAGAAATATTTATATTTTGGTTTTTGATTTCTTCAAAAGATGTGAGTGCTTCTTTAATCATTTTTTTCATAATCTTCTGTCTGTTAAGTAAAAATTTATTCAAGTTATTTCTTAAACATTTGTGCAATCTATTGTTTTTATTTGATGAAATCCACTGTTGAAAGACACATTCTTCAGGGAGAAAATGGCAAATAAGCTACTTCCCAATAAATAAGTAATAATTAGAGGCCTCTAAGACATGTACAAATCAGGGCTGGGCCTTTCTGGCACCATTGTTGTAGGTGAGACAACGGTCAGTCAAAGTACTTTCCATTATAATTTCCCTCTGGTATTTCCTAACATTTTTTTTTAATCTTTGAATATTCCTAAGTTTCTCCTTCCACATGGTTAGGGTGAATTATTTTTACATGCCACTTGAAATATAAGTTCAATCATAGGACTGCTATATTCAGTTTTGGAAAATTCTCGTCTGTCATCTCTTCCACAATGGCTTCTAATGGTCCTACCATGTGAACCACAGACATTATAAGTATATAGTAGTTGCTAGAGAGTTCTTAGTTTAAGTGATGTTATACTAGAAAAAATATAATTCTTAGTCTTAAGGAAGTTTTATATATCAGATTATGTCTGTGTGTGTGTGTGTGTGTGTGTGTGTGTATGTATGTGTGTTTGAACAGATGTATTAACTTTATATTTTCGTACCTTTTAGGGTTCTCTGGGCTCATTTACTCATTTATATGATTCTTCTCCTGTTCCCAATCTGGCCAAGATACCTTGAATATGATGAAAACATCCCTTTATTCTAGAATATAGAAAGAAATCTGAAATTTCTATTGGCAGTTTTGGACTTTGCTACAAAGCTTATTCTCCTAATATTTTCTATTGGTTTTATTGCTCAATTGTTTCTTAACCTCTTACAAAATACAGACGGTCAGACTTATTCTGTGTAAGGGACTGGAAGGAAACTAACTGCCCCACTGATGTTTTTGTTTCTCATGATAGTGTTTCCATGTGGGAGCCAGTAGCTCAGGATCACATTGAAAGTCGCTTGGATACTAAGGCCTGTGCTGCCTGTGTCTTGAACTTTCTAAAGTTTGGAAGTCATCAGTCCTACTTAGCAGCTCATTCTTTAAAATCAGGCAGTTCTGTATTTTCCTTGGCCTTCTTCTCCTGGCAAATATTGTAAGACCTCAATTCTCATTGTGGGCTAATTATTCTCTTCTATTTGCCTGAACCATAATTCAATGCAAGGCTACTCCTGCCCAAGGAAATGAGGACAGAAATTATATAATTGAGAATAATGGCTTGAAAGCCATGAATGTCTAGAATCTTGTGCGAAGTCTGATACATACTAGCTTGGTGGTCTTTACCGGTAACTTACCAAAAAAAAAAAAACAAGTTTTTTTCTCTGCTTTTAAAATGGGATCATCATAAAGGCTAACTATTTATTGAATGACAATAATGAACTTGCCCTTGTAGAAAAATCAGGCCTATAATTACTACCTAAACACTGTCTTATTAAAAAGGTTGTGATTTTATTCAGGTGGTTGTTGATCGGTGAAATTCCAATATATTCACATTTAATGAAATATAAATATTTGTAAGGATTATTTTCCATTACTAATATATACATTTAACTAACTGCTAACTAAACATTTTCAGAAAATTATGATGGACCTGACTGAAAAGAAACTGTAAATCATTTGGACTTAGTACTTTTAAATTATTAATTAGTACTTTAATTATTCATATACTGAAAAGAAATATTTCTTAGAAATATAAAACTCAACTACCAATTTTCTTAGCAAACCCTTTCTTTATTGATGATATTAAAGCAGGATGAACAAAAATTCCCAATCGTTAGTTTTCTTAAGTAACACTAGATGATCATGTATCTAGAGTAGCTTTTATAATTAAATGAACCTTAAGAGTTTTGCTGAAACACTAAAGACAATACTGACCTTTACAAATATCTGATCCCTTTCTTGAAGTTGGTAGTTAAAAACAATGAGAAAATATATATAAATTATTTACTAGCTATTTTGGAACCAGGAAAAAGAATTAAACTACACTAAAAAAATTATCCTTTGTATTTCAGGCCCTCCAGGGAAACGAGGTAAGAGAGGCCGAAGAGGAGAATCTGGTAAGTCTCTCTTTCAGCTGCTCTGTGTCACTCATGTTCTGGTTAAGTTCCGGCATCTGTTCTTCCTAATTAATGATAATATTGTCTTGTTGGAGGTTATATGTGTGTGTTTAAATCTTTCTCTGCTAGACCTAGTTGTATTTGTTTATTTATTATTTTTTAATCTTCTCCTTATTTCTATTAAACTGTAAAAAGGAGAAGTTTGCAAAGTATTGTTAATTGCAGTTTAGTAACAATTGGTACCCATTTGGGGCTTATTTACTGGGTCAAGTTAAGTCTGTCCTTTCTATGTACAATGGCGTGTTTCTCAGCTGCACACGGTGTGATAGCATCACCCACGTTTCCATCTATATAGGTGGTCAGTCAATGTAGGTCCTTTGCAAAAACATCTGCCTTGGGACACTAGGGCACATGTCTTAGAAAGCTGTGTTGTTATTTTATCCAATTGGCACAATTCTGTCATGCTTTTACTCTTACCGTTTTCAAAATTTGGGAATGTTTTATCCTTCTTGTACAACCATGGAATTTTAGTGATGACAAGAGCCTTAGTAATCAATCTAGAATTTTCATTTTGTAGTTGAGGAAATGGAGGCCCATAGCAGTCAGGTGATTTGGCCAAGGCAAAACTTGAAACAGAACCAATTGTCCTGATTCCTACTTCAGGACATTCTTGCTTTCAGGCCAAATCCCTATATGTAAAACAAATCCCCAATGTAAAACAGAAAAGTCAAGTAAAATTTCTTTTGAAACTGAGATGATCTGTATAAATGAGTTCACTTACTGTTTTTCTTTTTTTGGAAATGACCACATAAAGTCTTATCAGGCCATTAATTCTTACATGCAAGATAAAGTAATTTAAGGTTTGACTCTAGCATGCTGTAAATTGTTATTTTTCAGTATTTTCTCTAAGTATTTTTCAATATTAAAAATAATCAACTACTAAGTATTGAAACAGAAACATTAACCTATCAAGAGCTGATAGCAGATTAATGTGTGGTTTTTTTTCTTGCCTCATTTTCTCTTCCATTTTAAGAAAGATGTAAAAGTAAAAAGCATTTGTGAAAATTTATTAATTTGAGCAGTGTAGTTGCTTATTTTTTTTAAAGAGTATTGTCAAAAGCTACCTTTAAAGCTCATTGAATCTAAATAATTGGAAACTTGTATAGGTATTCCTTCACAAAGTGCAAAGTTTTCTAATAGAGGACACTTTATAAATTTGTTTTGAGGAAAAAGAAATGATAAAACATTAGTGGAATCAGATAATCATAGAAATGATCTTTGATCTTTGTCAAAAGAAAGAGGATTTTGGGGAAAAAGTGAAAAATTTATGCTTATACAAAGTTTCATAGAAAATAAAAGCCAATTTCCAACTTCCTAGCTACTTAGAACTAGTATTTTAATTGAGCATAATGGTGTGTGAAATATTTAAAATTGTCTTAGACTTTGCCTGTTTTGATGGTTTTAAAGAAACTTACATAAACGTGAGGACCTAGTCTTTTGCATATTTACAATAATGATGAATAAAAAATTCTAAGGACAAATAATTGGTACATTTCTCATTTGGCTGTTTTATCAAACTCAAGAAATTATATATCAATTCTCTATAACTGGTCTATCATAAATTACCAAATATTCTCATAATTCATACTTCTCTAAACTTTTATAAATTAGTCTTTACTTAAGATATATGAACATCTCAGTAATTCATAGACAGGCTTCAGGGAATCTAAAAATTACTTGAAATTTTATGTAAAATTTTGTGTGCAATTATAAATTTTTTTGAAATGGTCTCAAAGGCTCCATGGTCTAAAAATGATTAAGAATCAGTGAATTTAAAAAAACTTCCATGTCTATTATGTCATGCTGATGATTATGCTCATATCTTTTGTTTGATTTTAATATTTTGCATATTCACTAACTCCTCTCTCTCTCTTCTCTCTCCACCTGCTCCCCCCATAGGTCCTCCTGTAAGTATGTTTGCTGCACTTTGGCTTGTTTGCATTTATCAGGATTGTGTATGTTAAAACTTTGTTAAAACACCAAAATATAGTCTCTATGTCTATTAGAAAAATGTTACTGACCTTTTAAGAGTATACTTAAAGTGGTCAGTCGCGGTGGCTCACGCCTGTAATCCCAGCACTTTGGGAGGCCGAGGCGGGTGGATCATGAGGTCAGGAGATCGAGACCATCCTGGCTAACACGGTGAAACCCCATCTGTACTAAAAATACAAAAAATTAGCTGGACATGTTGGTGGGCGCCTGTAGTCCCAGCTACTCGGGCGGCTGAGGCAGGAGAATGGCGTGAACCCGGGAGGTGGAGCTTGCAGTGAGCCGAGATCATGCCACTGCACTCCAGTCTGGGCAAAAGAGCGAGACTCTGTCTAAAAAAAAAAAAAAAAAAAAAAAGAGTATACTTAAAGTTTGGAAAATTATTTTTTAGATACACAATTTTGTGATCATGTGATGTTAGAATGCAATATATGTCCATTTAAATTTGTTTTAAATTTTTTTATTTCCATAGGTTATTGGGGAACAGGTGGTATTTGGTTACATGTTCTTTAGCAGTGATTTGTGAGATTTTGGTGTACCCATCACCTGAGCAGTATACACTTCACCCTATTTGTGGTCGTTTATCCCTCACCCCCTTCACACCTTTTCCCCCGAGTCCCCAAAGTCCATTGTGTCATTCTTATGCCTTTGCATCCTCATAGCTTAGCTCCCACTTATGAGTGAGAACATATGATGAAAAACGTTTATTTTTGATATGATCACACACCAATACCCTCGTGGGATTTTTGGATAACTTATGAAGATTCTGATTTTAAATCCTTTTCCTGGAATTCTGAGGTTTCTTTTGCAAGCAAATCTCCAAGCTATTTCACACTTCTTTTTTCATCTGTTTAAACTTGTATCTGAAATATTTGCATTTGCCAGTCTGCCAAATGTAGATGGCAACATGATCATGGAAATGATACCCCCAGTGAGCTTGGACCAGTCCTCCCTCCTTAGGCAACACTCCCTTTGAAGTCTGTTGGAGTTTTGCCTGCATAAAGAACATGAGATGGAGCCCTTGGAGAGTTTCACTTTCTTTTTTCTTTCCTTGAGTAGGTCATAGCTGCAGCATTCCAGTCTGTTTTGCACTCACAGGAACAGATTATCTTGTCAGCTCTGAGCTAGATGTGTTTTTGAGTAATATCCTGGATATCTGTATCTGACCCCAGTGTTTATACTGTGCAGTGTGCATTTACGGTAGCAATGATCATTGGCCTTGAGATATTTTCTCATCCTGGATAGTCAGTTTGCTCCAAGGTTCGCAGACTCCACGTTGGCAACTTATCTAACAGGCCAGCATGGTCCAGGGACAGGGGCTTAGCGTGTACTTATTTACTTTATTCAGAGGAAACGTTGGCCTCCAAATATCTTTTGCAGTCTTCCTGCCACGTTCAAGGATGGAACATTAATCATGTTAGAAATGACTTTGCTTCTGTAACTGACTTTCAGCTCTTGCTTAATGCTAGGCAGATGGCATGCCTTAGGTCTAGGAGTCTTTACTTTTTGGCTTCATACTTAAGTCTCTTCATGTTAAGTAAGTAACAAACCACTACTACCCAGAGGAAACTCCTGAGGTTACGGCTGGAGTAGAGTGTTCAAGGCTTCTTTTTTTGGAATCCACATTAGCTATGGCAAGAGGTAGTTAAATCTCATTTCTGCCTTATGAATTCTTCAGGATTCTAGTACTTCCTCTTTGATTCCTCGAAAAATCACGCAACCATATAGCTCTCGCTTTCTTGAGGCCATCTGTTAGTCCAAATTTTCTACCTAAAGATGTCAATTGTTCCTCCTTTTCTTATTACATAGAAATAAGAGAGAATTAGCATTAAGCCCCTAGTGTAAGGCAAGCAATATTCTAGGTACTTTACATGTATAATTTCATTTTGTTCTCACACCAACCCTCTGATGTTACCATTCCTATTGTTCAGTGAGGAAACTGAGGCTCATAGAGGTTAATTACCAAAGGTTGCACAGCTAGAGGATTTGCAAAGTTGAAATTCAATTAGATATGTCTGATTTCAAATCGATTCAGTTTACCACTTTATTCCATTCCTTATGAATTATAGTTGTGTTATAACATGGATCATTGTTACATGGGTTTGTCAGGCCATGGGTCAAATCATATTCCTTGATTAAAATAATCACATAAAATATAAAATTATGGCCGAAACTGCAAAATGGCTAATCTATAAAACAAGTATTGATACTGTCCCACCTTGACTACATTTTAAAGAAGTTATAATATGTTTGGCAAACAGCATCAAATCCAAGAAATAAAGTATAATCATGAGTTTCCATACTGACTGGAAGATAATTCAAGTTGCTTATATTTGATAAGATGAAAAAACATTGATTGTACAAAAGAGAAAAAAAACATTGATTATGCTATCTTTACTAATACAATACAACCCTACCATAGTACTTAGGACCCAATATCATGGGCTTCCTTGTGGGTAAAATACATTATGATGAAATCTTCTTGAGCCTCCAATTCCTAAATCTCCATGTATAATGTCTAAAAAGTATCTGCCTTCCATCAAATTTTGCTTTAGAGTAGGTGGCTTTATAACAAATTTCTGGCATATTTTTTATATCTGAGTAAATATTAATGAACAATGGGATTATTACAGTTAAATAAGTTTATCATCAGTATGTTTATTTAGAGGCAATACCCAATTACTGACAATTTTAATTTCTAGGGACTATTCCTATTTTTACATCACCTTAATTTTATGTACAGTTAACCCTTGAACAATGTGGGGGTGAGAGGCACCAACCCTCTGCTCAGTGAGAAATCCACAGATAACTTTTGACTCCCCAAAAACGTTACTACCAATAACCTACTATTGACAGAAAACCTTACTGATAACACAAATGGTTAATTAATATACATTTTATATGTTGTATGTATTACATACTGCATTCTTACAATAAGCTAGAGAAAAGATATTATTTAGAAAATCACAGTGAAGAGAAAATACATTTACTATTCATTAAGTAGAAGTGGATCATCACAAAAGTCTTCATCCTCACCATGTTCACATTGAATAATCTGAGGAGGAGAAGGACGAAAAGGCGTTGGTCTTGTTATCGGCAGAGGAGGAGGAAAACTGGCATATAAGTGGACCAATGTGGTTCAAACCCATGCTGTTTAAGGTCAACTGTATATATTTTCCTTTCACTTCTTTTTCCTGAACTAAAATCTGACAGTTTCTGTAATTTTAATTTTTAGAGAAATGTATTGTCCTACTTTGTATCTTTTAAAACATTATTCAACTATCTCCTCAAGTGTGCTATCGAGGCATATATTGTCATCTTAATCACAGTTGCCCTTGCCTCCATTCTGCACTCTAAATATAAAGCACAAAATTGGTCTGAGAAGTTAGTCTTGCTTCTGGTGAGCAATCCTTGGCACAGAACCTACATCGAGTAAATTTCTCAAACTTCCTTCTGGCCCGCAGTTCCCATGGTGCTGTGGCTTCATGTGTACAGACAGATTAGAAAGTGTAACCTGGGATCTTGATGTATATTTTGCTGTCATTCACTTTCACTTCATTATGAAATGTGCTCCAATAGTGCAAGAGACATTTGGACACTCAGTAAAACAAACAAACTAACTAATAAAAAATTAGATGGCCCAGGGGATAATGGCAGATCTCACTGTAAGATTAAAAGAAACAAAAAAGAAAAGTATTAATGATAAAATTTAATTTAGCAACCATATATTTGCAACTTTACTTAGAATGTTTTGGAAAACTTGGATATATTCCACTAGAATTATGTGTGGATATATAACTATGTGTTTCTTTTGTCAGTTTTTATAGTCTTGCATATTGAGATCATTTATAATTTAAACTTGAAATACAACTTGAATTAGATCCCGTGTATCAATTTATTCTCTAGGAAGCTTTCAGCTTATTACTCAGCCTTATCTATTTTGAGATATATATATTTATATACATACATACACACACACACACACACACACACACACTATCAGAGGAGTCTCTGCTAAAAATGGCTGCAACAGAGCAATTTTGTGATAATGTATATAATTTGTTTTTAAGTGAATATCACATACTTTTTTCTATTTTCTTTCTCATAAAGGTAACACATATTAGAATATTGTTCTAATGGACTCTGTGCATGTGCTTTGAGCATCAAGCTCAGATATCACAACTGTATTTGCTAGAATGATTTGTCAGTCCATTGTATTATGTGACTATCAAATGGTACCTTCTATTTTGGATCACTTAAAAATAAGTTTGCACTTTAATAGGAAGCAGAGAGAGTTTGATCAAAATTTACAAAATGACTTTAGGGTTTTTAAATGGAGCAAATTTTACACATAGTTTTGATCCTTTTCAGAGTCAATAGTGGGTGCAGTCTCTCTGTCTCTTTGTCCCAAAAAGAAGTGTTATTCTAATATTCACAGGTCACAGAATCAAGCAAGTCCTGTAACTATAGCCAGAAAAGAGCCAGGAGACCTTTTTTTTAACTGGCTGTTTTATTTGTATCAGTCTATCAAGCCCTATGATTATGCTTGACTGACAGAGATATGATGTTATTGTTGGTCGTGGAGAACTCTCTGAGGTGTGAAATACGACTCTGTTGTGCAGCCTGCTCTGTCCTGTCCACCTTTAACAATTGTCAGCTCGGTTTGAACCCTAGAATCTTGTTGACAGATGAATGAAGCAGACTTGGCCAAGTTAAGCTTACAATGCTATTTCTGCCAATGTGGTAGATGAATTAGGAAAGAAATCTCAGTAGAACTTTTAGATGAAAACCTCTGATACCTTTACTTCATAATGAAAAAAATGATAAGATTTTTAAGTCAAATTGTGTCTTTTCCTGATATACTAATAACTACAATTTATAGCAGCTACCTACCATGTGTCACTTAACATACCAGTTCTCAGACCACCCCGTGACCTAGAGAGTTACTATACCTATTTTACAGAGAAGGGTGAGCATTGGACCAGTCAAATAATTTGCCCAAGGTTGCACATCTAGCAGGAGACAGAACTGAAATATAAACCCAGGTCTGTCCCTCTTCAAAGTCCCCCATATTTCTATAAGATGTTTTTCAGGCAAGTAAGTTTTAAGTGATACCACCCTCTTTGTAAACATCTTTGTTGTGTCTTATCCTATCCTCATCGTGTATGGTTCATATTAAGCTGTTAGTTATTTGTAGATCTTACATCTTATGACTGCTCTTTTAAACTGCCAGTTACTCAAAACAAACTCGCAAATCATCTAATTATCATTTAACAGAAGCAAATCATGTGGAAGTATGAGCTTTGCCTCTTGAGTTAAGAAAACTAGGTATAAAATTTTCTTGAAGTTTTTCAGCAAATATTCCTTTAATTACTCCTTTTTATATTCCTACTTATTATAATATTTAAAAATTTATATTTGGACTCAAAGAATGTGCTTTTAAATGTGTAGTAACTGTATTTTTTCTATAATAGCAGGGTATTATCATTATTGATGGAGGGAACAAACCATTTATCTTGTAGGAGGCAGTATGAGTGTAAAATACCAGCATAGCTAGATCAATTCAGTCATTATAACAGTCACCATAACAAACCATAGAAGCAAAAGCCCAGAGAATTAATTTGCACTGAAAGGCTGTTTGGGGGTAGAGTTTTAATAGAATGATCTCAGGCTGTCACTTGTCAAATGAACAACTCAGGTTGTTCATTTTGAGCCCCTGCACGCTGATTTGTCTTCTAGGACAGAAAGCAGAAAAAGAAAAAGAATATGACTATGAATGTGTACATAGAATAGATTCTCTAGTGTCTTTTCATGTCTTCTGTATTGAGTGGTTTGGGCTTCCATGTTTGTAGAGAGCACTGTGTTCAGTGGCAATCTGTTTTAATGCTTCCTCTGCTATAGTTTCTGTAGATGTAGTGCCAGGTTAAGCAGAAGTTTGGAATTCTGGAAGTGGCTACAGTAAGGGGCAAAGAGCTGCAAATTGAGCTTAAATAAGGCTGTTAAAGTAAAAAAATTAAAATTTTAAAAAGGAACAAGGAAGAAGAAATAGACATACAAAAATATTGACAATTTTTTTGCAACATTATTTTTTTCCTACGGTCTATTTCTGGATACCATCTGTTTTAGAATAACTTTAGCTGTTGTAACAGACGGACCTTAAGATATTAGTGGCTTACCATAGTAAAAATTCATTTTTTTGCATATTGATGGGCAAGGCTCCTTGCAGGAGCCCAGACTGATGGAGACTCTGCCATCTTTAACATGTGTGTTCCAAGGCTATCTTGGGCACGGTTACACAGCCATAGATAAGGAAAGAGTGGAGGGTCAGATGGGAGGATTTTTTTGACCATTATTGGAAGTTTAGAATTCTATGATTTATATCTCTTCTGACCACATTCCTTTGGCAAGAGTCAAGTCACATGTTCATACCTAACTGTAAGAGAGGGAGAGAAATGTAGCTGTGGGCTCAGAAGGAAAAGTAAACAAATTTGGTGAAGAGCCAGTCTCCACTGCCCTAAGTCTCCACTGTCCTACTGGAAATAATTCTGAAGAAGTAAAAAGAACCAGAAATCATCAGAGAAACATACATTGGTGTATCACTTGGGAATAATGTGGTCTCAGTCTTGTAACATTTTAGAGAAGAACAGTCATTAAAACTATTATCACTAGAAACCTAGAACAGAACAAAAATTAAAGGAAGGGGATTTTTTTTTAAAAAAGGGGGTGACATAAATTTAAAGGGTGGTCTGTAAAAAGAGAAAAGTATTAATGGCAGGTCATGAGACCCAGGCCTTCCAGATTACTTCATAATCTCATTGATAGTGAGGACTTTTTATCTTTCAGTATTTCTCAAATCTTTAGGCACCTCTATTCATTGTTACGGCCTTCTCTTTCCTTGTACCGTTTCTCTTGCCATGGAGTGGCTTAGATCTATAACAGGATTGGGTCCAGGGTAACCTCCTCAACTAGGCACAATTCTGGTTATGTGTCTGGTTTTATATTCCCAATAGTTTCAGGATAAAGTTTAATTTTTAGCAATGCTTCTGTGAAAAAAAGTGACTAACACTTTTAGAGTCAGTTTCATGAAGCTTGAAGAGTGAGCCACTGCCATTCTTATGGTAGGAAACAGGATAACATTTTAAAAGTGAGAGTTTAGGACTGAATCCTTTCTCTCCCCAGGATACTTGATAAGTAAAATTAAATTTGCTTCTTTTCAAATTAAAAAATAAAAAACCAAAACAGACAGTACAAGGCAGTCAAAATTTCTAAAAAGAAAATTCAAAAGGAATGCCTCGGTTTTAAAGCCTTTGCTATTAGTTGATGATTGGACACCTGTGTACCGTTCTAATGTCCAGTCTCCGAACAAATAGAGTGTCATGTCACTGCTTCCTGTTTTGCTTTCTTATGACCAAATATTTAGTCATGTTGCTGAATTCCTAGGGCGGTCTGCCTAATGCAGACCTGTAAATATCTTATGGGACTAATTAGGGAAGTAACTATGTGACTCTTGCTGGTTTGTGAGGCAATAACTAGCTATATTCAAGAAAGCCACTTGAAAATAAAGTGCTGTTACAAAGCAGCTTAGACACATTTTGAATGTTAGTATTTTGAACAAGGTCAAATGAGCGATTTGAATGATTATTGTTTCCTCATGAATGGCTAAACATTTAATAATCTTTGGCAGCATGTGATCAGAGAAGGGCTCAATGTTCCCATTCTTCCAAACTAGCTATGTAAAATGCTGTGATTCCTCTTATACAAAGGGTGGCTTCTGCATAATTCTAATTATGTGGACACCATGACGCTGGCCTACATTTGGCCTAAGTTAACTAAGTGCTGTGTTTGGTCTTAACTGGGTCATGGACTATAATGTGGAAAGAATCCCCTTCTTCAGTCATTAAATAAGTTTTTGTTTCTGTTTTGGTGGAATTAAAAAGACATCAAGATGTGGAATCTAAAGTGTTCCAGGTTACCTAGATGTTCTTATGTTTTAAAAAATTATTAATGATATTTTTATTATACTTTTTGAAACAAGTTCTCATGCATCCTTAAGATTTGCATAGGGTTAAATGGAATAAAGCATGCATCTTTTGTTACTTGCTAATATCTTTGGCCTCAAAGATATACACACATACAAGCAAATACGCACACATATCTCTAGTTCTTACTTCTGCTTAATTTTGAAGGAAGGTATTTCTGTATGGTCAAGGAAAGAAAAAAGGATGGAATATAGAATTTAGAGACAGGAGAGACTTTAAAGGATTGTTAATAATTAGTTCATAGAGTTATTTAAAAGATAATGCATATTCACACACTGATTCATTCATCAAACTAATATTGAGTGCTTAATACATACCACACCCTCTGCTATACGATGAGGATAAATGGCAAATAAGACGTGACTTTTGTCTTCAAGGTCCTTATCATCTAGAGAGGAAGAAAACAAAACAAAAACATAGCAATCTTGTGAGAGAAGTATGCTCAGGATATACCAAGGTGCAGTGGGAGGACAGTAGAGAATATAATCCAGATTTAGATGTGGAGGGGATCAGGAATGCCTCTGGATCTGAGATCAGTGAAGGACTTGTCTGGGTGAAAAATCGAAGTAGTGTGTATTTTCCAAGAGGTTAGCATTTTCAAAGCCTTTGGAACCCAAGAAAAAACTGTCATTTTGGGAAGTGGTGTATGAAATAAAGCTGAAATATAAAGTTCAAGAAAGAGATTAGGAAGTAACTAGTAAAAATAGAGATTGGAGCAGGATGAGGCTATGGAGTACTTTGCATGCCATTCCAAGTGGTTACCCTAAAAGTATGCAGTCTTAGAAGGGCTAAAAGAGTAGGGTGGCAGGGTCAGAGGAACATTTGAGAAGGCCATTCTGCTAAAGGACAAGGAGGAGGACAAATGGGAAGAGAGAGATGATTAGGGTATTGTTGCAGCTAAGCGGGGGGACGTAAAATGATCTGGAAAGAATGGTAGCAGGGGAGATGTAGAGACTGGGGTGGATTTAGGTGGCATTAATGAGTTAGGAATGACAGACGCGTGATGATGTAGGAATGAAGAGGAGATAGAAGTGGAGGTGGCTCTCAGTCCTCATTCTGGCGAATCATAGTGAGGCCACTGAGATGGAGAATAAAGATGGAAGAGCAGACTTGGGTAGGGGTTGATGCTGAGGGCTTCATCTGAGAAACTGTTTCAAGGAAGAACTATAAGCTTGCTGGAGTAGACATGAGCAGTCACCCAGAGGAAGAAGGGAAGGATGAATCTCCAGTGGGGGCAGAGGGGGACACTGCAGGAGCAGCAACTCAAGAAAAGAAGCCTCTTATGGGAAGCAAAGATTTCTGTTTTGAACATTTGAGTTTGAGCTATTGGTAAGACAGCTAAGTGGAGATATTTATTGACGTTGAGAGCCACCAAACTCTTCTCATTGTATCCAAAAATGCTCATTTGCTCAGGACTTTATTCTCTCTACACTGTATTGCTGGCATGATTCGAATGCACATGTTCCTGCAAAATGGCAAATAAGATAAAGACTAAAAAGAATCCAATGGGATTACCAGTAAAAACAGCCTTGGTGATTATATCACTCAGGGTGCTCCAGAGAAACAGAACCATAGGGCATCTATAGAGGTATGGGGATTTATTTTATGGAATTGGTCATGCGGTTGTGGGAACTGGTAAGTCCGAAATCTGTAGGGCAGGCCTGAAGGCTGGAACTCAGGCAAGATTTCTATGTTAAATCTTGAGATAGAATTCTTTCTTCTCCAGGAAACTTCAGTTTTTGTTCTTAAGGCCTTCAAATGATTGGATGAAGCCCTCCCACATTATTGAGGGAAATCTGCTTTTCTTAGTGAACTGATGGTAAACATTAATCACAGCCACAAAATATCTCCACAGCAACATCTAGACTAGTATTTGTCCAAACAACTGGGCACCGCAGCCTCGCCAAGTTGACACATCACATTAACCATCACAGTGAGGTTGTAAACAGACACCTCTTCAAGTTCTACTTTTTCAGATTCTTACTGAACTTGCACAGATGTACCTTCACACTTGTCTTTCATGGCTTTCTTCTCCTCTCTCTGTAATTCCTTCCTCCTTCTTTTATCCATTTCCTTGATTCAGCTTTCATATTCCATGTATATAACCTTGTAACTTGGCAGTGTTGTGTAAATATGCATGTCTGATTTGATAAGCTTTCCTGGCTAATAATAATATAATACATTTAATTGAAAGTAAGTCATCAAAAGCCCGTTCACATAGGTCATTTGATGCTATGACCCCATGAAGAAGGCAGGACTGATAAAATTGTGCTATTTTACTTTATAGCTGTCAGCAAGGGCTCAGAGAAGGAGAGTGACAGACTTAGGGCACACATGGCTCAGAAGTGACACGTGGGCCAGCTCTAAGCTGTGGAAGGCTTACATTTTATTTTTCTGTAGCAAATAAATACAGACCCACACACTTTTAGAGAAAAGTTACAAAAGAGTCTCTCTGCCGCACATGCGAGAATGAAACATTCCTGGTAAACTGGCATTTGGAACCTATGTAAAAGAAATTGATTGGTGCTAGCATTTCTGCTGCCCAGCAGAGGGGCTGGCCAAGGATTGAGGGTAGCACTAGTCAGGAGGGTTTTGAGAGGCAGCCAGAGTAGGCTGCGCTGCAGACCATGCCAGACAGCCTCACTGTGAGCTCCCCTCCTCCTGGCTTTGGATCCATCATACCTCACTGTGTTCTGTGGAGGAAGAGGAGAGTGGAGATAGAAGAGCTAAAGAATCCATGCAAAGTGGCCGAGTCACCACTTCCATTAATAAATGAAATCCATATTTGTGCAGCTAACTCATGAGAAAGAAGGAGAGTATTTGGCAGGCAGAGTAGAAACCCAATCTGGAAACTACAAATTTAAAAACAATTATTTTATGTTTTATATCACAAGCTTCCTTTTGGAGGCCTTTGTTAGCTACATCTATGTTATGATGTTCTTCTGGGAGACGAAATGGAAGCATTCTAAGAGCTTTGTGCTGCCCAGAGCACAAGGATTTTATAGGACACATGAAAGCATACTTCAGTCCTGTACTGCAGACATGGTCTTTTATTCTGATATATAATTTCATTCAACTGTAGTAGACACACATACTTTGTCTCTTAATTTGCAGTTTGGGGAACAACTTCAACTTGCTCCCTTCCAGAGAGCATTATTAACAACCAGTTGGCATACAGTTCAGGCTTTTTCACAGGTGAGAGTGAAAATTGAAAGAGTGGATTAGAGAGTTCTCTGCAGGCATGCTGGATAATTTATCACCCTTCTGTGGTAATGACTGAATGTATATATCTTTCACCATATGTAGCCTTCCATTTAGACTTCTAATCAATGGTGAAGAATAACAACTGGTTTTTAAAAACCATCCCTTAGAGTGGAACTAATCAGCTTGTGGTTTCCTTTCAGGTAGTCTGACCATTATTCAATATGCCCTATATATATCCTTGGATAGGAAATGACCTAAACTTCCACTTCCAGTTATGTGGATTATTTATCCTGATGCCCTCTCCACATCCACCCAACCCTCTACTTTGCATATTAAAGTTAAGCCTCTAATCATTGAATCTTCATGTCTGGAAAGCTGATCAGGAGTTGCCATTACATACAAACTTACTTTGTACATTATATGGCATGAGTTGAAAAGAAACTATTATAGAATTCTTGTATTGTTTACTAGTTTGAAAGTCGTGTGGAAAATGAGAATTTATTCCTTTGTCTGACTATATCCCCTGGGTTTTATTTGTTAAGAATGTTATTTTCCCATAGGCATTAGCTCCCTTGTTTAGAGGGGAAAAAAAAATCCTTTTTAAATCTTTAGTTTGGGCCGGGCATGGTAGCTCATGCCTGTAATCCCAGCACTTTGGGAGGTTGAGGTGGGCGGATCATGAGGTCAGGAGATCGAGACCATCCTGGCTAGCACAGTGAAACCCTGTCTCTACTAAAAATACCAAAAAGTAGCTGGGCATGGTGGCGGGCGCCTGTAGTCCCAGCTGCTCAGGAGACTGAGGCAGGAGAATGGCATGAACCTGGGAGGCGTAGCTTGCAGTGAGCCGAGATCACGCCACTGCACTCCAGCCTGAGCGACAGAGTGAGACTCTGTCTCAGAAACATAAATAAATAAATAAAAATAAAAATAAAATAAAATAAAAATCTTTAGTTTGGTGATATTAATAGAGTTTAGGAGAAGAGAGTTTGAAGAGCATAAACAAACTGGTGGCAATTTTAGATTGTTGGAACATTTTAAACAAAATGAAAAATTGCTTGACCTTGTACAAATATCATAATTTATAAGGAATTCACTACAAAAATTGTATATTTCCTATAATATGAAGTTTCCTATGTGTAGATTTTAATGAAAACCACAAGGCAAATAAATTTGGATTGGGAAACCTCTTCCTATTCATCATTGAGAAGGAGAAGCTTTTATTTTGTCATTAAAAAATATCCTTAAAAAGTAGGAAATTTCTTTCATTCCTGTTCGTTTCTAGAACTTCCAATACTATCTAGAAATTCCAATAACTAAAGTACCCCGGTCATTTCTAGGTTTCTGTTCTGTTAAAAGTAAATTTAAATAGAAAGTTTTTATTCTTATAAATTATTATTGGAAATTGATCTGTCTCCTTTCTCTTTATACTAACAGGAGCTCAAACTATTGCTCTTAAGTACTGTGATTACCAAGATGTAACATACTTTAATACTTTCAATGATTTATAATACACTTATTATTTTGTCAGTAAATTAGACTCCATGGGCAATATAAGCATTCATTTTAGGAAAAGTTTGGTAACAGTTAATCGATGGTTTACATTAGAAGGTTTCTTGCTTGGGGACTGGAAGTCAGCATCATTTCAGATGTGCCTTTGTTGGCTGACAGTAGCTATGGCAGGCAGCATACTACTAAAATCAATATGATAAATCTCTTGAAAAAGGATACTTTTTCTGTTACCTATATTTTCTCAACTTGTCTCACCCTATGCTGGGTATGCTTTTAAATACTTTAGGATACCAAAAATGGTATCCTACATTACAAGCCTTCAAACTTCTTACTTTTAAACTATAACCAAAATTAGATAAATGTTGTTTGACTTTATCCATCAGGGCATCATATGAATCCCAGTAATATGAATATGTGTCTTTATATAAGATTTCAGTTCCCTGTCTAAACATCAAAATACAAAACCCCATAGTGGAGTATTAAATTTTAATATTTGGCATTTATAAGATTTTAATTTATTTTAAACAACTTTCAAAGTGATGCATATATAGAAATTGACCAAGATATTGACTTGTCTTGTTGGAATTGTCTTGTAGCTGAAACTTTTCTGCTAAGTAGATAAAAAGAATCTTTCAGAAGGATATTTTCCTGAAATTTTTATCTTCAAACCATGTAAAGTTTCAGAGTGCATAAAACACTAAATTTATAGAATTGTTAAGAGTTAATAGAAAACTTAGAGATTGGGTCCAAGCTAGGTCATCATTTTTTAAGTTAATGAATTCAAGTGAAGCCCAAATAGGAATTTGAAGAGGGACCTTGTCACATGGACAGAACCACTCTGCAGTGATGAACGTGGAGACAATGAATTATGGTATACAGTATGCTGTTGTATCTAAATTAATTCATTTCTAAGGGCATATCTTTTCTAATGCTCCATATATTTAAAAGTTCAATTCATCAAAGTCATCATGCCATATCTGTTAAAAAGATTCATTTCTTGCTGAACTATAGCCAACAAATTTTCCAGAAATGACATTTTTCATAGTTTATTGTGTCCTCATTATCAAGGCAAAAACCATATCAAATGTGTTTCTTGAGTGACACTCAAGATCAATGAGAATGTGCATTCTGTTTCTGTATGCAGAGCTTTCAGTTTCTTAAGAATAATGAGAACTTTTAGGTAAAGATGTTTTTCAGGTTTCAATACTACTACATTTTTGTTATTTAAATATTTGTGTGGTTAAGGAATGGAATAGCACTATCAAGGGAATCTATTTTCTATTCTTTAAGTACTATAATATTACTCTTTAATTACTCGAGTTAAACCTCAAAACTTTGTTAGTCTTTAATTGCTTATGTTTTGCTTTAATTTAAGTGTCAATACAATTGAGAGGAAGTTTGGGAATCTATTTTTTAATTAAAATATTTAAATAATTCACCATTATTTATTAACTTTGATTTTATTATTCCTTTTGGATTATTATTGTTAATGTTTGTGCAAGTGAAAGAATAAAAATTTATTATGTAATGATATAAGATTGATGATGTTTGGTGTAAAAGATATTACTGTCAAAATAAATTAGCTTTTTTTTTCCCTGCAAAGATTAGATTTTATAGCATTATTAAATGAACTAATATTTCTCATTATTCTTTACCTGCTATGTGCTCTTCATGAAAGGGAGATGTTGAAGACAATTTAGAAACCTGGAAATTTCCTACACCAAAAAATAGGCAGGTTAAAATTCCATTCCTCAGGACCGCAAAAGCAAAGAGGTTCCAAATGTTTTGTTTCCTTTCAAAATGTGAAAAATCTGAGCCATAACTTGGTTTTATTACTTGACCTCTCTCCTCTGATGGGGACTGCCTTTCACTGTTCCTGCTATCGCAACATGACTGTGCAAACAAGGGGCCAGATTTCATTGTGCTGTGGATTGTTGATGTGGGGCACGATACCTGGAAGCTAAAGGAGCCCGGAACTGTTATGTGCCTGCCTTCTGACATTGGTGAAAAATGCTCCCATGCCTAATGGCACAACCAGGTCCCTTGACTGCCTCTGTGAATAAGGATAGTGCTACATAACTCTCATGTCCTGGTTCATGCTTCATACACCTATACACTCTTTGTGTGTATGTGAATCTGTACATGTGTTGTGTGTGAACTGAACTGAAACTTTTCCCTGAACTTTCCTTTCAATGAAACAAAACAAATGGCTGAGGTTTGCAATTTGTCAAAAGCTTTCAAAAGATTGCTTTAGCAGACTTTATTTCTGAAGGTTCATACTGGCTTTCCATCCTTTATGGAGGACCTGGTGGGATAGCCTAATTTACTTGTGCACACCAATTATTAATACAAATGTCTACCTTGGCCTACTTCCTTTCATTTATACAATTTCAGGGATGGCTAGTCAGCCATGCTCCAGGCGGGACGCAGACCCATTCATGCATGGGGCAAGTGCTTTATTCTCTCCCCAGTAGACTCCGAGCATGCTGTGGCTACAGTCTGTGGAACACTTTCTTTCATCCCTCAGCAGTTATTTAGAATCGTTCAGAAAGAACCTGCCGAGCCTCATCAATAGAGGTAATTTAGCCAGTGGCTCTAAAAATGCTAAGCTACATTTCCTGTCTCAATGGAGAACATCTATGCTATAAAAGAAATGTATTCAGATACTCTTGGTTATAACATTACAGTATCTGATTTAATCTCAGCATCGCTAATTGCATAATGTTATCTGTTAAAATAAATTAAGGTGGTTGATTTCTCATTATAAAACATTTTATTGCAGTGCGAAGTGAGGACTTTAACTAGTTTTCACAACTTGAGCCTCTGTCAAAAGATTTTCCAATTGCTTGGAAAGTATGAGAATAAAGTATGGGAATCTTAAAGTGCACTAACCTCTTTGTGTTATTTGTGACCATAAGTTCCCCTGTTGAAGAGTTTAGGACTTATTTTTCCATGTTTCTCTAGCATCACTGCAGTGCCTGGCTTAATAAATGTAGGTTGAATAAAAATTCATATAAGAATGAATTTTTAAAGAGTCAGATGTTTTTGGCATGCCTTCCACTGTGGAAGGACTATGTGGTGTAACATCATAGTTAAAAACCTAGGCTCAGGAATCTGGCAGACGCAAATGTATGTCTCAGTATTTCCATTTACTAGTGGTGTGATCTTAGACAAGTCACTCAACATTTCCTGGTCTCGGTTTCCACAGCTGTAAAATGGGGTGGATAATGGTACCTGCTGATGTCTGCAAAACCAACATCACAGTACCTGGCATATTGTAACAACACCATAAGTGTTAGCTGTTCAAGGAGCATGCAGTTTAATAGAAGAGATAAGCTATCAATACCTATATTTTAAGGCAGAATGTAATGCTATAAATGAATTGAGACAATGATCTGTGTATATTTGGAAGAAATAAACTTCCCATCTGCTATAGGAAAGCAGACAAAGCTTTGGAAAGAGGTGAAAGCTGAGAGCATGGATGGGATTTTGAGAAGTGAATGAGTGGGAGGACACACCAGGTTGTGAGGATAGCAGGAACAAGAGTGTGCTAGGAGTCAGGAGCTTATAGCAATTGGAGGAAGGTCATGGGGCTAAGGGCCTCTACACAGGCTGGAGCTAAGGGTTTTGACTGCCAGGTCTAACTATGCCTTGATTTGGTCAAAATGAGATGTCATTTTCTTTGATGGAGTAAAAGTAAAGCTTTAAAATGTGGGCAGTACATCTCGCTGGAACTGCCTGAGTGCTCCAAGTGCCATTGTTCTCCCTCTGGCATTTCAGCAGCACTCAGCTTACCCAGCTGCTGGCATCCTTAAGGTTTTGTGACCTGGTGGGTGACGTTTATTTGGTCTCGCTACAGAAAATGTAGGAATGGTGATTTGCGTAAATTCTTTTTTTTTAAAAAAAGTATTGTAACATGGCCTGGCGCGGTGGCTCACGCCTGTAATCCTAGCACTTTGGGAGGCCGAGGCGGGCGGATCACGAGGTCAGAAGATCGAGACCATCCTGGCTAACACGGTGAAACCCCGTCTCTACTAAAAATACAAAAAACAAAATTAGCCGGGCGCGGTGGCAGGCGCCTGTAGTCCCAGCTACTCACAAGGCTGAGGCGAGAGAATGGCGTGGACCCGGGAGGTGGAGCTTGCAGTGAGCCGAGATCGCGCCACTGCACTCCAGCCTGGGCGACAGGTATTGTAACACTTTAATATATGGCATATAATTATTGAAAGTTGTGTGGCATAAGAAAACAGGTCTGCATAGTAGTTATCCTGAAACACACGGCATAAAGGAGTTTTGGCCAGGCACAGTGGCTCATCCCTATAATCCCAACACTTTGGGAGGCTGAGGTAGGTGGATCACTTTGAGTCCAGTTCAAGACCAGCCTGGGCAATATGGCGAAACTCTGTCTCTACAAACAAATACAAAACGTTAGCCAGGCATGTAGACCCAGCTACTCGGGAGGCTGAGGTGGGAGGATCGCTTGAGCCAAGGAGATGGAGGTTGCAGTGAGCTGTGATGGTGCCACTGCACTCCAGCTTGGGTGACAAAGCGAGACCCAAAACAACAACAACAACAACAAAATGAAGTTTTACCCTTTTAAAAATTTTTAACAGGCATTGCATTGTGGTACACCTGGAAGCCTGACTTTAATATGTCCATGTTGATATGAGGAATGACTGCACAGGCCTTTGACCTACCTCAAAGTTCCCATACAGACCAGAGAGTCTACATGAATCTTGGCTGAATCTTTGCAACATCAGTAATTCACTACATTAGTCACTTATTCAAGGGTCTTTCACAGATATAATTCTCTTTTGTCTTCACAACTACTGAGTTCGTGCTGTGGGTCCTTGGTGGTTCCCTTCCTCCTAGACCTGTCACCCAAAGCCCAGCTCATTCCTTGCCCCTGCCTGTCCTCTCTGGAGATGCACTAGAGGCTATTCCACTTGAACTCTGTGGCCAGTGCTGAGCCAAAGTGTGCCCAATGGTGGGTGTAGGATGGGAATGATGGGGCAGCTGCCTCTCTCCATAGTTCAGGTGTGGGGATTCATGAATTCTAAAGACCAGAAGGGGCAGGGAGTCAGGCAGCAGCTGCTTCCTTCTGTTGCTATTTCTTTCATAGCCTATCTTGTTGACTTCCGTGAAATGATGACCCAGGCACCACCTCTCTGGAGGGATGTGATACACTGAGCTGCCTTCTGCTGCTTGTGTCTCAGTTGGCCTGTCCATGAGGCTTGGCCATTTATTTTCATCCTGAGGAAGTAAAGGATAGAGGATCCGAACTCTGAGGAGCAGGAGGTGTGGAGAAAGGGTGTATTAACGTCCGTAGCAGGTATCAGCTATGCAAGGAAAATATTTAAAGCAGGGAATAGATTTAGGTTCTTTATCTATGAGGTGCCTGGATGCCTCTGATTTCCTGTTTTCAGAGTAAATTGTGTAATAGCTCATCATGAATAATATATAAAGACAATAATATCTAAGAATTATAAGGAAATTAAGAATATTGTAGGCAGGAAATTACAAATTTGTATGAGTACTCTGTATTTCTGAGTTTTTGAGTTCTTATTGAATAAATATAGACAATATTATCCATATTATTTTTACATAGTAGTTCCTTCTTGTCCAAGGCGATATGTTCCAAAACCCTCAGTGGATGCCTCAAACTGCGGATAGCACCAAATCCTATACGTATATGTTTCTTCCTACAAATATGTATACACATATACCACACACATACACCTATATAAAGTCTAACTTATAAATTAGCTACAGTAAGAGATGAACAACAACAATAATAAAATAGAACAATTATAACTATATACTACCATAAAAGTTATATAAATTTGGTCTCTCAACATATTTTACTGTGCTGTACTCGCCCTTCCTGTGATGATGTGAGATGACAAAATGCCTACATGGTGAGAGGAAGTGAGGTGAATGACGTGGGCATTGTTGACGTAGCGTTAGGCTACTATTGACCTTCTGCAGGTGGCATATACAGCATAGATACATTAGACAAAGAGGTGATTCATGTATTGGGCGGGATGGAGTGGGATGGCATGAGATTTCATCCCACTACTCAGAATGGTGTGCAACTTAAAACTTAGGTATTGCCTCCCTCCTGTATCATTGGTTTTTCCTCTCTTTTGGATAATTTCATTAGCATAGAATTATGCCATAATATCTTTTGTCCTCAAAATGAAACTTCCTTGACCCCATATGTTTCCCAGATGCTGTTCCATTTCTTTATAGCTCCCACTCCCTTTTACAATGAAACTCTGGAAAGAGTTGCCCACACTCATCAAATATTGTTTTCCCACTCTCTCTCTAATCTAACATGGCCTCCATCTCTACCACTGTACTGAAAACATTCTTCTTAAGGGCACTGGTTACCTTTATTATGACAAATTTAGTGGTCAGAATTCAGTTCCAACTTTGCTGGACCACATTCAACACAGTGAATTGGTGTCTTCTTGAAACACTTTCTCTGTTTATCTCCTTGTTCTTATCACTCTTTCAAGGTGCTCCTCCTACCTTACTCACCACTCCTCCCTTGCTAGCTAGTCCTTTTTCTTTCTTTTCTTTTCTTTTTCTTTTTTTCTTTTTTTTGAGATGGAGTCCCGCTCTGTCGCCAGGCTGGAGTGCAGTGGTACAATCTCGGCCCCCTGCAACCTCCGCCTCCTGGGTTCAAGTAATTCTCCTGCCTCAGCCTCCCAAGTAGCTGGGACTGCAGGTGCATGCCACCATGCCCAGCTAATTTTTGTATTTTTAGTAGAGATGAGGTTTCACCCTTGTTGGCCAGGATGGTCTTGATCACTTGACCTTGTGATCTGCCTGCCTTTGCCTCCCAAAGTGCTGGGATTACAGACATGAGCCACTGGGCCTGGCCCCTTTTTCTTCTTCATGATTTCTACATGTTGGAATGGGCAGGGCATGGTGGCTCATGCTTGTAATCCCAGCACACTGGGAGGCCAAGACAGGAGGATTACTTGAGCCCAGGAGTTCAAGACCAGCCTGGGAAGCATAGCAAGAACCTGTCTCTACAAAAAAATAGAAAATTAGCTGAGTGTGGTGGTACGTGGCTGTAGTCCTAGCTACTGGGGAGACTGAAGTGGGAGGAGTGTGAGACTGCAATGAGCTCTGATTGCACCACTGCACTCCAGCCTGGGTGACAAAGTGAGACTCTGTCTCAGTGAATGAATGAATGAATAAATAAATGAATTTTGAAATGCCTGATGGCTCAGAACTTGGACCTTTCTTCTTCCTTATTTACATTGCCTCATTAGATGATCTCATATAATCTCATGGCTTTAACTATTATCTATGTGTCAAAGTCTCCCAAATGTATATCTCCAGTCTGAACTCTCAGAATTTTGGACTTGCATATCCAACTATCTATTCAACGTTTGCACATGGATGTCTCCTAGAGATCTCAAATTTAGCATGTTCAAAACCAAATGCTGGAATTCCACCCTTACTCTCCAAAGCTGCTCCTCTTCCAGATCTTCCACACATCACTAAAGAGCAGCTCCACTGCTCTAATTGCTCTGGTCAACCTTTGGAGTCATTTTTTACTGCTCTTTTTTCTCACACCCCACATTCAATCTAGTTGCAAGTCTTGAACCAGAAACTGACCACTTTTTACCTCCTTGGTTGCTATTACCCTGGCCCATCCCATCCTTTATCTTTCACTTAGAATGCTACAAAAGCCTCCTAACATCTCTCCATCTGTACACCCCTGCCTTTCTACTGCCTTTTCCCGATAGTGGACATGATCCTTTTCAAATATAATTCAGATTGTGTCCTTTCTCTGTGCAGAACCTCCTCGCCATGGCTTTCTATTTCATCCTGATTAAAAGCCAAGTTCTTATCATGACCTGCAAAGTCTCTCTGATCTCCTCCCTCCTGCTCTGTAACTTTCCTCCTTACTCTTTTTCCTCACTCACTGTAGTCCAGACGCACTGTCAGTTGCTGGACACGCTAAGCACACCTCCATCTTACAGAGCATTACCACTTGCTGTTTGTTTTTCCTCCTTTTTTCCATTCAAGGCCCCCCCATGACCACCCTGTAAAATAGCGCCCTCCCATTGAATTGTTCTCTAGCCTCCTTATCCTCATGTACTTTCCTGCTGAGTCCTTATCGCTGTCTGCCACATTATTCATAAACATTCTCTTAAAGCCTGCTTCTCCCACAAAAGTGATAGCGGGGCTTTGTTTTAGCTACCATATTTATTATAGTCCTAGTACCTGAAGAATGCCTGCACACTGTAGGTACTCAACAAATATTATGTGAATGAATAAATAATCAATTTTATTCCTCTCACATCTGCCCCATCCCTAGCAGACTTCTATTTCAGAGTCCTCTGAGATTTAAGGAATGGAATACATCCATTTTCTGCCTCTGTACAGCAAATTGATCTGTATTTATTCTCACTTTCTTTCTTCTCATCTTATATAAGATGGTGTTCTTTCTCCGCATTCTTCTTCTCTGACTCCACTTCCTTTTGTGTTCTCTTGCATGCTGATACTGCTCTGCAAGCCATTTCTTTTCTCTATGTCCTGTCCGTTTGTAAACATTTTCAAGTACCTCCCATCTTACCACAAAAACAAGCAAGAAAAATTTTCCTTAACCCTATATGCCTTTTAGCTACTCTCCTATTTCTTTTCTTCATGCACAGTTACTAAAAAGAGGTGTCTACTTGGGCTAGCAAATCGTCGGCACACATGTTTTCCACTGTTGCTGTCTGTAGACATTCCCTATCAATCCCACACCCTTTTCCCAAGTCTATAACCAGCCTCTGAACCTTTAAACATGTTATTCCAGGCAGTCGTTAATAACCAGAGTTCACACTTCATATAACGCCTGCTTGCCATCTACGGAGCTTATTCTTTTCTTAATTTCCTCACCTCACTGCTTAATCAATTACAATACAAATTCCAACTTTCTACTTGTTAAATGCAATGGACTCCTTGTTTTAATCAATTTGCCTTCTTGAAATTCTCTCCAATCTTGATTTCTGTAACTCTAATTTTGTTGTCATTGTTTTTAGGTTTTTTTTATCCTCAGTTTCCATTTTGGAACACTTTTCCTCTCCTACTCTTGAAATATTTACATTACATTACATTACCCCTAGTCAGGGGTTCTTAACCCAGGTGAATTATTTCCTAGAGAACCCGCGAACTAATTTAAGAGTATATGTGTGTGTGTGTGTGTGTGTGTGTGTGTGTGTGTGCAAAGTGTTTTATATGTGGATATTTCTAACCACTGCAGCTATAGCTTTTATCCAGTTCCTAAGAGGGCTAAGAATGACTGCTACTTTCTTTCTCGGGGTAATCTTGCCCAAGCCCATGGGCAGCCAGCATGACACAAGTGAGAGCTCAAAAGGGTCCAAGTCAAATAAACCCATGTTCATAGTTTGAACTTCCCCTTTTAGAAGCTGTTTGACTAAGGAAACGTTATTTAACCTCTCTGAAACTTGGTTTGTTCAACTGCAAAATGGTAGAAATGACCCCTAATTTGCAGGGTTATTGTAACAAAGAGAGATGACATTTGTAAAACTCTTGGTGTTGTGTAGTGGTCAGTAAGTGGTAGCTATTACGATTCAGCCACAAACATCTGGGTCCCTCAAGAACATAAGCTTGTCAGCTTGCAGAGCCTCTCCTCCCTCATTTTAAAACAGGCTTCATTTTTAGGATTCTGCTTTAGTGAAGCAGTAAGCATGATGTGACTCATGCATTATAAATTAATTGACTCTCTGGGTGTTAGAAATCTGCTAGCATGCATTTATTAATGTGAAACATCTAGGACAGCTGCAGAGAGCATTGTCAAGTCTGTCTTTGTGCACAATATTTAGAAAATCAGAATTGGGCACATATAAATTTAATCAGACTGAAAGATGTTTATAAATTGGCTTCCAGTATTTATCTGGAACAATCAACATAGCACACATTAAGAATGTTATTAAACATAGCAGAAACCAAATTACTCAATATATACAGTGTAATAAAAATTGGTAGGGCAGTAAAAATTGCCTAGGTATGTGTTTTTAAAGCAATGGAAGCTGAGCAGGTCTCTTTTCAGAGGTACTTCATATATGTTTATTGTATCCTACTAAACATGTCTGTAAAACTGATCATTTACTTACACCTTGATTGCCAATCCTGATTCCATGCCAGCTGGTGAAAAGGCTTGGATAAGCAAGATGTTTTAGAAGCTTGACAAACATTTATAGTCAAAAGTGTAAGTTATTTATACAACTCCATAAAATAATGCAGTTAAATTACAACCCAGATATTTTGGTTTGCAAAACAGCAAAGGATCCAAGGGCCTCTATGCCTAGCAGGGATCCCCAGTTGATGTGGAGTCATGACCTCTTCTCGCTGGTGTTTAACTGTATAACTCTTCTGCCCCTTTCTTTATTCCTACTTCCAAAAGTGATATGTGGCATACAGAAAGGTAGATTTAAAACCCTTACTTACTGAATTTTTGAGAGCATATCTTAAGCATTTTGCAACATTCTTCCAAGTAATTAAAAACACCCTGAATTGGAAGAAAGAAACTCGAATTCAAAAATCATTGACCTAGATCTTTGAGTAAATGACTAATATGGAAAAAAATTAACAACTTAATTAAGGGTTTAAAAGTTTTCTGCAGTTAATTAGTTATCATGTGACAATATATTTTTGTAATCATGAGATGGGGCTAGTAAAATTTAGAGAAGCATAAAAAACTTAAATAATAAAAATATTTACTTATAATCCTATCATCCGTAGGGAACCACTATTTTTGTACATGTTTTCTTTCTTCCTCTCTCCCTCTTCATCTCTTATTTTCTTTTCCTTCTCTTTCTTTTTTTAGATAGATTTATAACCATATGTCTGAATAAATATGTATATACACAAAAATTATGTCCTAGAAAATATATAATCTGTATTTTGTATACTACAGTATAAATAAGCATAATATATAAATATATATAAAGTTGATAATTGGAATAACACTGCATTTTTAGTGTTATAAAGAAATAGTCAGATATTTACAGATGCTCCTTAATTTATGATGGGGTTATGTATGTCCCAATAAATCCAGAGTAAGTTGAAAATGTTGTAAGTAGAAAATGCATTTAATACACCTAACCTACTGCCCATCATAGCTTAGCCTAGCTTACTTTAAATGTTCTCAGAACACTTACATTAGCCTACAGTAGGACAAAATCATCTAACACAAAGCCTATTTTATAATAAAGTATTGGCTATCTCATGTAATTTATTGAATACTGTACTGAAAGTGAAAAACAGGATAGTTGTATGGGTACTCACCATGAAATAACGTACACAGAAGAATGCCCGCTAGGCCTGAAGAATGTCTGAAGCATTGAACTAAAAATAATTGCTGGATGATGGACATCTTGCAGCAACAGGGTTATCAATCTCTCTCTTCTGAGAGGCTTGAGAATAGCGAGTAGAAGGGCATTACACTTGTTGATGGTTTAGCAGGCACAGTGTTCTTCTGGAAGACAGCAAGTTTTGACTGTATGGTTTGTTTCTTCTTTTCATTATATATTTCTCTTTATTGCAAGCAAGAGCATCCTGTATCTGCCATCAGCGCTTGTGAATCTCTTGTAATTGACATCCATTTCTGTAATTTCCAAAAGCCATTGCTAATAGTAGTAGCAAATATTTCTGCCAGTTTCTTTGCTGTGAACATTCTTGGTGCCTTGGACATAACTTCTGCTTTCTCTGCCTCAACTTCTTTACTTCTTTCTTCCTCCAGTTCAATTAGCTCCTCGTTGGAAAGTTCTTCAGCCTCAATGCCAACAAGCTCATAAATTTTCTCTTTATCAATGTCCAATTCTAGTGATTTCCTAAGCACTGGTATCTTGTTACTATTTAATCAACAGCAGAATCTTTGTTAAAGCCTTTGGATGTGTTCACATATGTCTTCAAAACTTTCTTCCAAATGCCGTTCATGCATTGCTGTGTGACTTCTTCCCTTGTTGTGGTGATGTTTTGGATAGAATTTAGAATGCAGCCAGATTTAGTCACTCCAACAGCCTGCACAAATGTCTGGCATATCAGTATACTTTGAACACAGCTCTTGTGCCTTGGTCCATTGGTTGAATGAAAGCATTTGTGTTCAGCAGCAGATTCACAACATTTACATCAAGATGCATGTCACTGATATGCTGTGGAAGCCCTGGAGTATTGCCTAAGATTAGAAGAATCTTGAATGGAATGTTGTTTTTGCCCACAATATTTTCTTGCTGTGGAATAAAACAGTTCAAAAACCAGTCTTCAAACAATGCTGATATCCAGGCTTTTTCGTTATGGTGATATAAACAGGAAGTGTATGGTGCTCACATTCTTGAATGCTCTTGGGTTCTCTGAGTGGTTGATTAGGAAAGGCTTTAATTTGAATCCTGCAACATTTCCACCCCAAAGCAACATTTCCACCCTAAATTAAAGCCTTTCCTGTAACACCCCAAAGCAGTGTTACACAGCCTTTGAATGCCGTAGACCCTGGCATTGGACTCGTGGTGAATGTATGTATGCTCTGGTGTATACTTTCAGAATAAGCTCATTTCATTGACTTTAAATATTTGTGCTGGTAAATACTTCTCATCCACACTTACCCTATGTGGCTCTTCCCAAAAGCTTTGTTACCTTCAATATCAGGACTTGCTGCCTCACCACAGACCTTCATATTATGAAAATTATGATGCATTTTCAAGTGTTGGAACTGGCCATGTCTTGCTATAAACATTTGTATATATGTAGGATCATTGGTGTACTCTTTGAACTTATAGAACACACTTCTTACCCTAGCCTAAGTCATCAGTAGGCTAAGCGGTATGCATCTCTGTATCTGGTTTTCCATCCACATGACAAGTAATTTTTCCATGTTATCAAGCAGCCCACCTCTTCTCTTTGTGATGATAATGGATTTAACCAATGCTGATGATTCCACTGCCTCACTGATTCACATCTTATCCTTTAAGATGGTTGATATCATGGATCGTGAAATATCGGGGGAACCCGCCCCCAATATTTCAGTGTAGGTTCTTTCTATTTTCCCTAAGTGTCAGCCAGTCTGAGAAATAAAGAGAAAGAGCACAAAGAGAGGAATTTTACAGCTGGGCCGCCAGGGGCAACATCACATATCGGCAGGTCCGTGATGCCCACCTGAGCTGTAAAACCAGCAAGTTTTTATTAGGGATTTCAAAAGGGGAGGGGGTGTACGAACAGGGAGTAGGTCACAAAGATCACATGCTTCAAGGGGCAAAAGGCAGAGTGAAGATCACATGTTTCTGAGGAAACAGGACCAGGGCAAAATCAGAAACTCCTGATAAGGGTCTATGTTCAGCAGTGCACGTATTGTCTTGATAAACAGAAAACAGGGTTCGAGAGCAGAGAACCGGTCTCACCTCAAATTTACCAGGGCTGGGGTTTCCCAATCCTAGTAAGCCTGAGGGTACTGCAGGAGACCAGGGTGTATCTCAGTCCTTATCTCAACCGCATAGGACAGACACTCCCAGAGCGGTGGTTTATAGACCTGCCCCCAGGAATGCAATTCTTTTCCTAGGGTCTTAATATTATATTCCTTGCTAGGAAAAGAATTTGGTGATATCTCTTCTACTTGCACATCCATTTATAGGCTCTCTGCAAGAAGAAAAATATGGCTCTTTTTGCCCGACCCCACAGGCAGTCAGACCTTATGGTTGTCTTCCCTTATTCCTTAAAATTACTATTATTCTGTTCATTTTCAAGGTGCACTGATTTCATATTGTTCAAACACATGTTTTACAATCAATTTGTACGGTTAATGCAGTCATCACAGGATCCTGAGGTGACGTACATCCTCAGCTTACAGAGATAACAGGATTAAGAGATTAAAGTAAGACAGGCATAAGAAATTATTAGAGTATTATTAGGGAAGTGATAAATGTCCATGAAATCTTCACAATTTATGTTCCTCTGCCGCTGCTCCAGCCAGTCCCTCTGTTTGGGGTCCCTGACTTCCCGCAACAGTGAAAGTTCTAACTCTCTTGCAATGGCCATTACTGGCTTGTGCCTTCATACTGGGCAGTTATCTTGAGTTTCATCTCAAGAGTAATTGCCTTCCTCTTCTTCTCACCAGAAACAGGAGACACAGATGAGCATTCCGCAGACATGATATGACATAAAAATACAAAACACCATATCCAAAAAATGCCAACAACACAGTACACAGTAGAGTATTGGTTGTTTACCTATGTGACTGAGTGGCTGACTGGGAGCTGCGGCATGCGGCTGCTGCCCAACATCGAGAGAGTATTGCACCATGTATCCCTAACCTGGGAAAAGAGCAAAATTCAAAAGCTTCTATGGAATGCTCTTGCACCATTGTGAAAGTCAAAAAGTTGTAAGCTGAACCATCATAAATTAAGGACCATCTGTATATACAAAGACATAAACATTATTTATAATAGTAAAAATCTGAATAAACCTCAGTGGAATATTAGGTATCCAATAAAATTTAATAATGCAAATTAATGAATGAGTCTTTATTTTTTGTGTGTTCTGTATGTGAAATTTTTATAGCAAAAATGCATGTGATAAAATTTTTTACTTATGTTCCACATATGAACATGTTAGTTATAAGAGAGAAAAAATAAATATGGTATTGTGTTAGAAAATATAATATTTTAAAATTAATGTGACAACTTGTCAACCTGTTTAAACATGAGTAGATTTTTAAGTACAATTATATATTTATGAAAAGCAAATATCATGGAAGAAATCTTCCAAGTTTTGAATCTTGTTTTTTATGTTGAACCCCCCCCCCCCCATAATAATCTCCATGCTCATTCTTGCTCTCTGTCTCTTTCAAATTTTTTAAAAAAGAAATATCCACCAGGTTTTAGATGAACCACTTATTTTCCTCTGGAGTAGAATATGGCTTTTGCTTTTCAGCATTAAAACCATTGAGAATTAATTGTTTTCCAAAAGAAAACCTTAAATTGAAAAATTCTTATCTAAGTAATATTAGTTGACTGTAGCTAAGGTGCAGAATTATTAATATCTATCCTGTAGGATAGCACAACAGGTAATATAAATTATTAATAATGTTTATCTCAGTCAAGTGTATAAGAGTTCTTGGCAAGAGCAGCTTATAGACATTGGGAGATTATGCAGTCTTTGCAAAGCCATTTTAAAATTAATACACATAATCCATAATGCTTTATGTTTTCAATTGCTTCTCTAGTATATCATTTGCATATAATTAGTTTTAAAAATTAGTTGATACTTTATCTAAATTTGAATGAAATGAAGTGTTGGAATCAGATATATAACCTATTTTAAACCTCCATGCAGTACTTACAGAGCATAATTTACGAAGTAATTTGATATAATATTTTCAAGTTAATTGGATATGGAGACCAAATCAAACTAGAAAGTAATTTTTCGTCAATATGGAACTTTCGTGCTTCTCTTTTATATTGGTAGGTGTATACATAGCCTCCTCTGGCCTTTGACTGCCTCAGTTTTATCTTTATTATCTGAATAAAATTCCATTGAGTGTGCATTATATGGTTTGGCTCTGTATCCCCACCCAAGTCTCATCTCCAGTTGTAATCCCCATAATCCCCACGTGTCAAGGGAGGGACCAGGTGAGAGGTAACTGCATTATGGGGGCAGTTTCCCTAGTGCTGTTCTCAAGATAGTGAATGAGTTGAGACCCAATGGTTTTATAAGGCGGTTTTCCCTGCTCTTGCTCACTCTCTCGGCTGCCACCATGTAAGACGTGCCTGCTTCCCCTTCTACCATGATTGTAAGTTTCCTGAGGCCTCCCCAGCTATGTGGAACTGTGAGCTGATTAAACTTTTTTTCTTTATAAATTACCCAGTCTTGGTATGTTGGGGTCTGGGACAGAACTAATAGGATACACATATAAATATATATATATATATATATATATGTGTGTGTGTGTGTGTGTGTGTGTGTATGTGTGTGTATACACACATGTATATGAGAGTTTGTTAAGTATTAACTTACATGATCACAAGGTCACACTGTCTGCAAGCTGAGGAGCAAGGAGAGCCAGTCTCAGTCTCCAAACTGAAGAACTTGGAGTCTGATATTTGAGGGCAGGAAGCATCCAGTGCAGGAGGCTAGGCCGGTCTCTCTTTTTCATGTTTTTCTGCCTGCTTTTTGTTCACTGGAAGCTAATTAGATTGTGCCCACCAGATTAAGGGTGGATCTGCCTTCCCCAGCCCACTGACTCAAATGTTATTCTCTTTTGGCAACACCCACACAGACACAGCCAGGATAAATACTTTGTATCCCTCAATCCAATCAAGTTGACACTCCCTATTAACCATCACACTTGGGTATGTCTTTATAGCAGTGTGAAAATGAACTAATACAGTAAGACTTCCTTTTCAACACTGATGCATTTATTCTGCAGTGAACAGAAGCCAAGAGAATACTTTCTGGAATATTAGATTGAGAACCTACATTTTGAAAATATACCACTGTAATGAAGAATAGTAACCATTCTACTGGTTCTTTAAAAATATTATTGTCTACCCTCTTTGGGCTAGTCAAAAGAGTCTCGCCTTTCAGCAGTTCAGCAATTGTTTCAGATGCACCTTATAGCTTGGGGTCTGAGATATTGGAGAAGAAAATGCAAACATTCACAGAGTTGAGGATGGGCAAGATCCCTACTCCCTGGTGCTGCAAGTGTAGAATACATCTGTTCCACTAACTGGCACAGACTCTAGGTCAAACTGCAACTCTTGTAAGGCTAAGGTTCCCATTGAGAGGATGGGGCCAGGCACAGTGGCTCACGCCTGTAATCCCAGCACTTTGGGAGGCTGAAGTGGGTGGATCACCTGAGGTCAGGAATTTGAGACCAGCCTGATGAACATGGTGAAACCCCATCTCTACTAAATATAAAAAATTTTCTGGGAGTGGTGGAGCGTGCCTGTAATCCCAGCTACTTGGGAGACTGAGGCAGGAGAATCACTTGAACATGGGAGGTGGAGGTTGCAGTGAGCTGAGATTGCACCATTACACTCCAGCCTGGGCAACAAGAGCAAAAATCCATCTCAAAATAAAAAAGAAAGAGGATGGGATCAGGGGCCAGGAGAGGGTTCCATGACAGGACTCCTATTGGCCCTCAAGACCTCCTGCCACCAGAACAATCCTGCAGCTGCTCAGAGTTTTTTGAGGTGGTTCTAAAGCTTTATCTGGATGCTTACTACAGGTGTTATTTTATAGGTGCTTTTCTTTTCACCTGAAAAAAAAAAATAAGCTTGACATCTCAGTGTGTGAACTTGAGAATTTTAAAGATAATGAAATTATAGTAATCATTTCAAATGATTGTTTTAGATGGCAAGGAATCCAACAATTCAAGAGAATAAAAACATCTGAATATGAGTATACTAAAATAAAAGTAGTAGTCAAGCTTGGGTTTCTTAATGATGAGTTTCTGAGTTATTGAGGCAATTTCTTTCTAATTATCTTGAAACAGAGGTAGTACCTTTTAGAGTTGCATGAACAATGTTAATATTTCCTCAAGTTTTTGTAGATGGAAGTTTTTTATTTAAAATTGGTCACAGTAAGGATGTACGTGAATCTGTTATCCTAATCAATATTTCAAAATAATATTATACTTTAAAACTACAACTTTTCTGTGCCTATCTGTGAGTGTGTTAAATGGGAAAGCAGCATTTGTCTCATCTGAAAAGGAAAGACACAGATTTACCATCCATAAAAAAAGTATCATGTAGTGAAACTAATTTCCTCAGTCAGAGATCCAAATGAGTTTGTCAATTCAGAGAATTGTGTTAGCACTTACTGGCAACCATAATTGTGACAATGTCACAGGATCCTTTGGGTGTCACTTTTCCAGCTGGAAACCTTTGTGGCCAGTGGCACCTTTGCTTGAGTTTTGTTCAGACCTGCTGGGCTCATTCTGCCCACTCAGCCTGGCAGGCTGTGCTCAGCTCATGCTACCAGCCTGGGTCCCACACATGCCAAGGGTGAGCCAGACGCCAAATGATGAGGGGTGTGTGAGTGAGCCCAGGGTCCAGCCATTGCACACAGCCAGGTACACTGACTGCTGCAGTGGGGCAGGCAGCTCCAGGTACTGTCACAGATGCCGGCTCTGTGCAAACCTGTGGCTGGATAAGATGCACTGCAAGTGGCTTCTGCTGTGGGCACCCATGTCTGGACAAGGGGAATGTGGTGGTGCCCAGAAACTTGGAGACACCAGAAATCACAGAGCCCCGAAGAGGGAGTCACAGCCCTGGCTCAGGGAGTCCCTAGGTCTGGGCTCCCTGAAGGGCCACAGCTCTTCTTTTTTTCTGGTGCTCGCAACATGGCGAATGAGGGGCAGGGGTTTAAGCTCTGTGTTACAGCTCTTTCAGTCTTGCCATTTGTTGGGTCTCAAGTTCTTGTCCCACATTCAGGAAGAATGAGGTACATGGACAACTGGAGGATGAGCAGGATGGAGAGGAGCCTTATTAAGCAACAGAACAGCTCTCAGGAGACCCAGAGTGGTAGCTCCTTTCTGCAGGCAGGTCATCCTGACAAGTGTCCAACTCTCAGCAGATAGGAGACCCAGAGCAGTAGCTCCTTTCTGCAGGCAGGTCATCCTGACGAATGTCCAGCTCTCCACAAATAGAAGACCCAGAGTGGTAGCTCCTTTCTGCAGGTGGTAGTCCCCATGTCTGTGTGAGTCTGTTTGAGTCTGGGGTTTTTATGGGCTTCAGAAGGAAGAAAGTGTGTGCTGATTGATCCATGGGCAGCCATGGGTTGGCCTGGACCTGGAACTGGCAGTCTGGTCCCCAGGCTTCAGGCCTTTCCTGGCTTGAAGGAGGGGTTTCACCAGGGACCCGCCCCTTTCCGCCTAGGAATCTGTCTGCCTCCTGCTGTCATCAACATGTCTTCCATGGCACCTTGGCTGTTCATGCCAAGAGGCACCTGCAGGCCTGCACTGCGCTGCCCTCAGCCCCACTGGCCTCCATTCTTTGCTCATTGGCACTTAAAGTCTGGAGGGGGCTGAGGCAGCGGGGGGCTGCTGTATCAGCACTACCCTGATCATGCACACACCCAGCTTGGTTGTGAGTGTCTGGGCTCGGCCACAACTTTGCTCCACCCTGGAGCAGACACTAGGAGTAGGGAGAGGCCGGAGAGTGGGAGCAGGCACTTCTAAGTCTGCAGGGGCAGGAGGGGCTTCCCAGGTTCCCTAAATGCAGGGAATGCCTGGGTCTGGAGCCATGACTGGGCAGCTGCAGCTGCCCCCAGAAGTGCGGGGCACCCACCCCACCAACTCAGTAGGGGGCAGGGATCCTGCCTCTTCCTGTCCCTGCTGGCTTCATGGAGCATACAGCCCTGGCTGCACCTCCTCTGCTGCAGCCAGCATCTTCACAGCAGCCACTCCAGATGGGCCACTGCTGCCATCAACAACAGTCCAACAAAGAATAGTTAATATTGCTCTTTAGTTGCCTAAAGTAATGTATACTCCTGTGATAGGTCATCTCATTTATCATGTTCCATTGTGGCTTACTTGCATTGCCAAACTTTCAACCTCCTGTGAATACTTTCCTGTAAAACATCAGCTACTGGCTGATTGTTTTCCATTTTGCTGTTCTGATTACCAGTTTTTAAGATCAGCTTCTCCTGCTGTTTCTTCTTCTTCCTGCTGGTACCTAAGTTGCCCTGAGCATTGCATTTAGCTGTTGACGTACAGTGAGTCAGTGACCCAGAGCACTCAGTATTCTCCACTTTCTCATGTATTTTCCTGACTTCAGTATGTTTGTGACTTAACTGTTTCACTTGGCATGGCTTTTACGTTTACTAGATTCAGGTTTTTATTTATGAAGCATTTTGGTGATTTGCTTGGGAAAAATGATCTTTTCAGGAATTCCATTTTTAAAAAGGCAACTTACGGTGTGTTTTGTGACCCTTAATCATAATTTACAACTACTCATTCAGGTTGTCCTTTAGAAAAAGTTAACCTTCACAGTTAATTATTAATAGTGGTCACTACCTTTAAATTACAATAGACTAGAACAATACTACTCAGTAACGAATGAAAATATTTGTATTAATCAAGCTACTCAGAAGCAACTTAAGGAAATGCTGAGGTGTTTCTTTTTGATTAGTCTGGGACAAAGTCTCTATCACCACACGCTCTCAGTCTCTAGGAAGTTTCTGAGACACTCTCCTGCTCTCCCTCTATTCCATGGCTCCTGCTCAGAGCAGATACCATTACCATATCACCAGAAACCTCTCCTCTGGTCATGGCCCTGGTTTGGCCAGATGGCTCTATTAGGACGACTGCAAGACTCGGCGCTGCCGGACTGTCTTTTTGCAGATATTTTAGGTGTCGATTGTTACATCCTAGTGAGTGAGAGGACGTGGTATAGGCAGTCCTGGAATCTCATAGAAGAGTGGTAAGGACTGTGTTGTGTATTCCAAGTTTTAGATAAGAGTTTCCGAATTTGTTACATTGTATGCTTTGTTTCTCTGGGAAGCGTCTCTATCAACCACTTCCTCTTTTCCCTCCTTTTCATGTTCCCTCCCCCAACACACACACCATACATCCCTGAAATTCATATTACATGTTAGAGTAATCTGAGTTCTTTAGTGCTATAAATTCTTCAATGCCTATATAGATGTCAGTTTTTAGTAGTAAACAGTCATTTATGGCTGTTTGTTCTATCACTAACATAAAATCCATAATGCAATGTATATTTTATATAATAACATATAAGTGTATGCACACATTGTGCCATATCATTTGGTCAGTATAATGGCAGGAATGCGACGTATTAAAGATGGACAGGAAAAGTCTGTCACTTGTAGAACCACCAGAGGAGTCTGAAAATATCACAACTATACTAAACAAATTTTTCATTTGAAGAAGTTCTTCCTGATTTTAGAGAATCCTGCATTTTAACTTTCACATAACACATATAAGAGATGCAATATATTCTGGGATTCTATAAAATATTCATGTTTACACTTTTTTTTTTTGAGACAGAGTGTCACTCTATAACTGAGGCTAGAGTACAGTGGCACAGTCTCAGCTCACTGCAACCTCTGCCCCCCGGACTCAAGTGATTCTCTCACCTCAGCCTCCCAAGTAGGTGGAATTACAGGTGCGTGCCACCACGCCCAGCTAATTTTTGTATTTTTAGTAGAGACGGGGTTTCACCATATTTGCCAGGCTAGTCTCAAACCCCTGACCTCAAGTGAACCGCCCACCTCGGCCTCCCAAAGTGCTGGAATTACAGGCATGAGCCACCACACCCAGCCACATGTTCACATTTCTGAGTTTGCAGTAGTTCAAAACATCAGAAAGACCAAAAGCTTAAAGCTGAGGGGGGTTGGTGGGGTGGGGGAGGAGTGCACAAGAGTGACCACATGTTTGTAATTTTGTGTCTGAAATTGGTGGGCTCTTGGTCTCACTGACTTCAAGAATGAAGCCACGGATTCTCATGGTGAGTGTTACAGTTCTTAAAGATGGTGTGTCCGGAGTTTGTTCCTTCTGATGTTCGGACGTGCTTAGAGTTTCTTCCTTCGGTTGGGTTCGTGGTCTCGCTGGCTTCGGGAGTGAAGCTGCAGACCTTCCCGGTGAGTGTTAACAGCTCTTAAGGTGGCGCGTCTGGAGTTGTTCATTCCTTCCGTTCAGAGTTGTTCATTCCTCCTGGTGGGTTTGTGGTCTCGCTGGCCTCAGGAGTGAAGCTGCAGACCTTCGTGGTGAGTGTTACAGCTCATAAAGGCAGTGTGGACCCAAAGAGTGAGCAGCAGCAAGATTTATTGCAAAGAGTGAAAGAACAAAGCCTACACAGTGTGGAAGGGGACTCGAGCAAGTTGCTGCTGCTGGCTCAGGCAGCCTGCTTTTATTCTCTTATCTGGCCCCACCCACATCCTGCTGATTGGCCCATTTTACAGAGAGCTGACTGGTCCATTTTTGACAGGGTGCTGATTGGTGCGTTTACAATCCCTGAGCTAGAAACAGAGTGCTGATTGGTGTATTTACAATCCTCTAGCTAGATGTAAAAGTTCTCCAAGTCCCCACTAGATTAGCTAGACACAGAGCACTGATTGGTGCATTTACAAACCTTGAGCTAGACACAGAGCACTGATTGGTGCGTTTACAAACTTTGAGCTAGACACAGAGCACTGATTGGTGCGTTTACAAACTTTGAGCTAGACACAGAGTGCTGATTGGTGCATTTACAATCCTTTAGCTAGACGTAAAAGTTCAAGTCCCTACCAGATTAGCTAGATACAGAGTGCTGATTGGTGCATCCACGAACCCTGAGCTAGACACAGAGTGCTGATTGGTGCATATACAATCCTCTGCATAGACATAAAAGTTCTCCAAGTTCCCACCTGACTCAGGAGCCCAGCTGGCTTCGCCTAGTGGATCGCACCAGGGCTGCTGGCGGAGCTGCCCTCCATTTCCATGCCACGCGCCTGCACTCCTCAGCCCTTGGGCTGTCGATGGGACTGGGTGCTGCGGAGCAGGGGGCGGCACCCGTCAGGGAGGCTGGGGCCACATGGGAGCCCACTGCAGAGGGGCTCAGGCATGGCAGGCTGCAGGTCCTGAGCCCTGCCCGGCGGAGAGGCGGCTGAGGCCCGGTGAGAATTCAAGCGTGGTGCGGGCGGGCCAGCAGTGCCGGGGGACCTGGCGCCCCCTCTGCAGCTGCTGGCCCAGGTGCTAAGCCCCTTACTGCCCAGGGCTGGCACCGCCGGCTGGCCGGCCGCTCCAAGTGTGGGCCCGCCAAGCCCGCGCCCACCTGGAACTCGCGCTGGCCCACGAGCGCTGCACGCAGCCCAAGTTCCTGCCCGCGCCTCTCCCTCCACACCTCCCCGCAAGCAGAGGGAGCCAGCTCCGGCCTTGGCCAGCCCAGACAGGGGCTCCCACAGTGCAGTGGCGGGCTGAAGGGCTCCTCAAGCGTAGCCAGAGCGAACGCCAAGGCCGAGGAAGTGCTGAGAGTGAGCAAGGGCTGCTAGCACGTTGTCACCTCTCAATTTCACCCAGTACATGGATCTGGAAAGATCCATAGTTACATATAAGTGGTTCTTGGGAGAAAACCTTTGTAGCCAGCCTAGGCAACATAGCAAGACCTCAAAAAAATTTTTTTAATAAAGTTAGCGGGGCATAGTGGCATGTGCCTGTAGTCCCAGGTACTTGGGAGGCTGAAGTCAAAGGATCACTTGAGCCTGGGAGTTCAAGACTGTGGTGAGCCATGATTGTGCCACTACACTCCTGCCTGGGCAACAGAGTGAGACCCTATAACAAATGAACAAACAAAAAACCTTCATAGTGTCTCCATAGAAATCTTCTCTACGTTTAGTGCTGATTTTAGAGCTATTACCCTCAAGAAGCTTTGCTGAACTGGCTTCTGTATACGTATCAGTTGCAGGTAGGAATGCCTACTGGTCCTAGGTATGCTTCTGGAAGCAAAGATTCATGCTGTGGCAGTCCTGGAGTGGTTGGCAAGTTGAGAGTGTTAAGCACTTGAAGAATGCTCTTGTACCATAGTTGATCTGAACAAGTCTGTATGTAAATGTCAGCTTAAACTTCTAGGCCGAAAGGCAGAGTGACCTGGTAGAAAATGCATAAACCTTAAAATCAGATTTGGGTTTAAATTCTGGCTTTTCTATAAATTTATATAAGTTGTGACCTTTAGCTTATTTCTCTGAGCCTCAGTTTCTCCATCTGAAAAATTCAGGGCAGTTATAAGAAATAAATATAATAGCATATCCCAAAGTGTCTGGCACTTGGTAAGGAATTAATAAATGTTATTCTCTTTCTCTCTCTCTCCACCACTGGAGAGTACAGGAGTGGGGTGAGTAACATCTGCAGTGACTTGGTTTGGCTCCCCTTCCTAGTTTGACCTGCCAACTACATTTTCAGGCAAAGTTCTTGGAAATCATCTGTTCTATCCCCAGTGAGTTAGAGAACAAGTACCTAAGGAAATTGCAAGCCTGGAGAGAGGCTAAGAGAGACAGTTCCTGGGCCTTCTCTGGGAGTTGTATTAGCTCCACACTTTCCTGTGTGATACTTGGTGCCACACAGCTGAGACAATGACACTACACATTATTTATTTACTTTTTAAGATTTCTTAACTCAGTGTGAACATTTTCTTTAATCTCATCTGATACAAAATCCAGTTGGAGATTTTAAGAAGGTGATATGAAATCCATACTTTTATTCACAGGTGATTGATCTTTAGCTAGAAGCATTTACAGTTATACTGCTTTGAAATTTTTGATCAGCTTAAATAAGAAAATGACATTCAAAATAAATTAGATTGGACAGAGGTCACATAATCCATTGACTGTGTGAAGAGTTAGGATGCATGATCCAAAGACCTCTGATATCCTTTTAAAATGTCCTTAGGCTCAGTTATGCAGAATAAAAGATAAAGGTTTATTTTTTAAATTAACTTAAAATGTTATTGAAATAATGAGAAGTTAAGAGACTTGATGAGCTCTAACACTAAAGTATCTGCCTTTGTTTTTTTAAAACGTAACTCTGTCATGTTTGAATATGTAGCTCACAGTCTGCGCTTTGAATAGCTCATAGTTTGGGCTCACAGCCTATGCTGCAAGACTCTTTCTTTAAGTAACCCCTTCATCACAGTAATACTAGGTGTGGTATTCCTTCTGCCTTCTCTTTTTCCAATTAAATTTTAGAGCATGCTAAAACCCTAGGGTCATTTTGGAGTTAAATAGACTATAATATCAGGATTTTAGATAAATAGCATAAAGTAAAACTAGCAGGATGTGATATGATTTTTTAAAGCCACAAGTGAAATCTGTCAGTAGTTAGGATATTATCTTCAGAAATATTTGTGAATATTTCCAGAACTAGTTTCAGTTTTGGTAGTGAAAATATTCACTTAGGATACAATTTTGTAATTGTTTTTCTTTTTCTTTTTAATTTCAGGGACAGCCTGGTCCTCAGGTAAGGTAATTCTTTTCTAGCAAATTATTTTCAATTTAGGATTTTCCCAGTGTGGAGGTCTTTCTGCAATTCTTTCAAAAGATATAAAAAAGCTATGAACTGATAATCACAACACCACACAGTAGACCAAATATTTCCCAGGAGTAAACCCTTGGGGCCTCTTCAGGGTTGTGTGAGCCACATCAGCTGTTGGGCCAGATGGCAGATTTAACAATGTACTATCATATAAAGCAAAACTCTTAACTGATCTGAAACAGTGCCACAGGACTGTAATGTAAGACAGCATGACATAAAAGTCGAGTATGAACTGGTTTGCATTATGTACTGATTAATCATGTACTAATAATGTTGTTGTGAATCCCTGCAGACTCTGATTATTTAGACTGTGATCCTACTAGCTACTTTTGATTCATTATAGACAGATATTGAATTTTTAATTTAGAAACAACTGCCGAAGACATGATTTATAATTAAGCATGAATGCGGTCAACAGAAAATCTTATTGAGCCCATATTGAAGAAAATGAGCAAATTTTAGGAAGGGGAGGAATGTGGCATGAAGATGGAAATACAAAAAAATACGTGAGTTTTCAGAAATGAAAAGTCAGTACGAGAAACTCAACAAACAACAAATTCAATATCAATACTAATTATAATCCCTAGGATTCTATAGAGAAGAAAATGCAGTTATTAATGTTTTACTTTTAATACTGTAGTGCCTATAAATAATATAATTATTTACTGAACTCATCTTCCATCTCTTTACCCTTGATGTACTGAATGTTATTTCTGCCTTAGATTGTTTCACAAATAAGCCATTTTCATGATAGTTTTGTAGTCAATATCATGAATTATCTATTGTGTACTCCACCTCATACCAGATCATAAGAATATTATTTATGCTTTTTATGATCTCTGTATATAGATGTCTAATGAAGCAAAACATTCCACATACTTCAGTAAACAAGTTCTTTTCACACCAAGCTTATGAGAAAGTTTTGACTTTTAATTAACTTATATTGATATCTGAAAATACCTATATTCTCATTATTTGTGATTTTCACTCTTGTATTCCATGTTGGTTCAAGGCAATTATTAATGGAATAAAACCCACGGAAGAAAGTTATAGCTTGTTTGCTAAATTTGAAATGGCCATATTACAATGGAATGAAGACAAAGTAAAAGATGCTTCGCATAGTTTCTTTTGTTTTTTGTTTTGTTTTGTTTTGTTTTTTCTGAGACGGAGTCTTGCTCTGTTGCCCAGGCTGGAGTGCAATGGTGCAGTTTCGGCTCACTGCAACTTCCGCCTCCCGGGTTCAAGTGATTCTCCTGTCTCAGCCACCCAAGTAGCTGGGATTACAGGCCACCTGCCACCATGCCTGGCTAATTTTTGTATTTTTAGTGGAGATGAGGTTTCACCATGTTGGCCAGGCTGGTCTTGAACTCCACTCCTGACCTCAGGTGATCTACCCACCTTGGCCTCCCAAAATGCTGGGATTACAGGCATAAGCCACCGTACTCAGCTTGCATGCTTTCTTTTATTTGATGCTTACAACAGCCTTGGAAAGTATTATTATCCTACGTGTGTGTGTGTGTGTGTGTGCGCGCGCATGTATGTGTATAAACATACAGAAACAGAAGAGATAAATTACTCACATGAATGACACCATAAACTGGGAGGTTAACTGAAGTCTGTCTCTAAAACCCTCATACCTTGTAGTGCTCAGCCCTTGAAAGAAGGTGGTGAGACAGCAGATGATAAAAGAAGTTGATGAGTTGGTTTTGAGAGATTGTAATCTTTAACATATTTTAATTTTTAATAGGACCTCTGTCTTAGCTGGACCTTCTTTCCCACATCCCAAAGCATTTCTTAAGAATTTGAGCATAAATAACTTATTTGAGAGATGATCCTAGAAAGCATCGTGAGAGAGTGGAGAAATGACACAGGGAAGGCAACAAAACCAAAAAATGGATGCCTCAATTAGCAAGTTTCTGCTGTGGACAAATGGGGCTCAATCCTGCTGAGGAATCTTGAGAGACTATGTAGAGCATGTCCCAGAATCATCCCAAAGAGGGACAAGGAAGTTGATGGATTTATCCACTAAGTTCCCTGCCTTTACTGTTGACGTTCACAGCTGGATGTTGGCTTTTCAGCACTCCTGGCCTGCTGTGAAAGGAATTTAGGAAGCCAGAGGGACATATGGGACCTGTATTCTAGCACTGTCTTGGAGCAGATAGTGGTGGGCAGGCACCTACATCTGCCACAACATCCAAGTGCTCGTGTCTTATAGACAAGACAGAGTAGAAAATTCAGATATGAATAGAAAGACTTGGGAAATTAAATATAAAGGCAGCATTAAATGCATAGTAGTTAATAAGATACTAAAGAGAGTAACTGTAAAAAGAAACACAGTCATAGTAAATCTTGAGTATACAGCCACAGTTAATAAACAGAAGAAAGATCATAAACCAGCACTGGAAACCAAGAATGGACAGGACCAGGAGAACCGTGGATGATGGTGGCTAAGAATGAACGTATATCATGGCACTTCAGAACACCTTCACATCAGGTCCTATATTTACTATGGCTCTGCAGAAACATAGTCTACCTAACTGCCTATGCTGGAAAATGTTGAAAATTTGCAAGGAGGCTGGGACCAGCATTTTCAAATGGTCCCATTAGAAACCTGCTCTGGTTTCCTTTGTTTTGGCTACCAGTTTGCCTTTAGTGGATGTGAAATCTCATGATCATTTAGTTTAAAATGTCTTCCTCACATCACAGCAAAAGGAAGTCAATAAATTGAGGAAGGATAGGTATTAGGGAAAACGTGAAGCCAAGACATACCCTCACGTGATCTTTCTACAGCACAAAAAAGGAGCGAAGAGTTGTTGTTGTGTCCCCAAGGAAAAGTCTGGCCTACCTCTTATGCCTACATCATTATCATAATATTTTTCCAAAATCTACTACATGTATCATTTCTAAGTGCTCATATTTATGATACTTCCATTGTTAGATTTGAAATTAAATAGCACTTAATGAAGTTTTGCATTTGGTGCTTGATGGTCATTAGCTTTTCTCTGATATTTTTAAAATTATAGATGAATTTTATATAGGCTCCTATCCATCTGTATATTTTGTTTTCCCCATTACCTATTGTAATGTGTTACTTTCCTAACCCCTGCTCTGCTCTTGGGAAATTTTCTTTTACAAAAAAAGTGGACCTTAAACTGACTTTTTAAAAATTACTCTTCAGCAAAATGGGTTTTATTTATTTTTATTTATCTTCAACTTTTATTTTAAGTTCAGGGTTACATATGCAGGATGTGCAGGTTTGTTACACAGGTAAACGTGTGTCATGGTGGTTTACAGCACAGATCGTCTGATCACCCAGGTATTAAGCCCAGAATCCATTAGCTATTCTTCCCGATGCTCTTTCTTCCCCCAAGCCCCCACAGGTGCCCAATGTGTGTTGCTCCCCACAATGAGTCCATGTGTTCTCATCAGTCAGTTGCCACTTATAAATGAGAACATGCGGTGTTTGGTTTTCTGTTCCTTAAATAGGCTTTCAACCACAAAACAAATTTTATCTATCATAAATATGAGCACTTAGAAATGATACATGTAGTAGATTTGATTATCAATATGTGCAGCAGAGTTTTTGTATTTTATAAAATTAAATCTTACATTAACACCTTACTATGAGCCTACTTTTTCTTTGAGTAAATTTGCATAAACTGTACATTAAATCTGTTTAACATAGATCTATAAGGTACATGCAGTGTATTAATAAGTAATATGCATTTAAAACCCAAATTAGAGACTGAACACGGTGGCTCACACCTGTAATCCCAACACTTTGGGAGGCCAAGGCAGGCAGATCACTTGAGGTCAGGTGTTTGAGACCAGCCTGGCCAAAATGGTAAAACCCTGTCTCTCCTAAAAATACCAAAAAAAAAAAAAAAAAAAAAAAAAAAAAAAATTAGCTGGGTGTGGCAGTGCACACCTATAACCCTAGCTACTAGGGAGGCTGAGGCAGGAGAACCGCTTGAACCTGAGATGGAGGTTGCAGTGAGCCAAGATAGCTCCACTGGACTCCAGCCTGGGCAACAGAGTGAGACCCACCCGCCACCCCCCCACAAAATTAGAAGCTTGTTATGGGTTTTTAAGTTGTTGAAAGCTTTCTTTTATTTGATCAAATTTTTCTTAAAATTTCCATGTTCTGTTTACTTGGCTCACTGAAAATGATCCTTTTCACATACAGTATATGTCTAGTAACAGGAACTTGAAATTTTGATTATCTTCTTTTTCTTTTTTCCTCTTCTTTTTGTTGACTCAAAATGATACCTACTTTTTTTCTTAAAATGTCAACCCTTTTGATTTCTTTGATTTTATAAGATTTTGACCTAAAATGTCAAAATTTGTTTTTTGTTATTTATGTACAATTCAACATAACTGGCCTGATAATTCTGTTCCTCTCCAGCTCTGGGTCTCCCTAGCACATGCTGTTAGCTCTGGGAAAATGGAAGGGTATGGACACTGCAAAACTTCTTCTTTCACTCCCTGTCTTCTTTTGCAGCTAGTTAAGGAAGACAGCTTGTCATCTGTGCAAGGTTTCTACAAACAAATTCTCCCTTAGCCAACCCTTAAACCCACATTTCCCACCCCTGTCTGAGTCATGACCGTGTCATTCAGACTCTTCTAATCTACACTTCTGACTTTCAATGGATTTTTCATTAAGACACTATTACTAATAATGGTCTACTTCTATTATACTATGGGGATATGTTTTAGGTACTTTAGGAATAGGCTTTTGTGGATTAGGCTGGGAAAATAAACCATATTCATATTGTGATTCCTACAGGAAGATCTAATTAGGTTTCCAAACAAAATACTTCCCCCAAAAAAGGGTTGTAAATGTTTAAGTTGGGGGATTGATATGGTTTAGATCTGTGTTCCCACTCAATCTCATGTGAATTGTAATTCCCAATGTTGGAGGTGTGGCCTGATGGGAGGTGATTGGATCATAGGGGTGAATATTTCATGAATGGTTTAGCACCACAACCTTGGTGCTGTTCTTCTGACTAGTTCTCATAAGATCTAGTTGTTTAAAAATGTGTGTAGCAACTCCCTGCCACCTCTCTCTTGCTGCTGCTCTGACCTTGTGAAGTGCTGGCTCCCCCTTTGCCTTATACCATGATTGGCAAGGAAGCTTCCTGAGGCCTCCCCCAGAAGCAGAAGTTGCTATGCTTCCTGTGCAGCCTGCAGAATTGTGAGCCAGTTAAGCCTGTTTTCTTTGTAAATTACTTAGTCTCAGGTATTTCTTTACAGCAGTGCAAGAATGGACTAATATAGGGATTGGGCATCCTTTAAAGTTTATTAAAAGACTTGGACAGAATTGTAATTAACTTGTTTTTCCCGTGCAAATGTTTACATCAGTGAGAATTGTCTCGCATAGGCTGAACATTCTCTTTGTTAAGCTGTTCTTGCATCGTTATAAATAAATACATGAAACTGGTAATTTATAAACAGAAGAGATATAACTGGCTCACGGTACTGCAGGCTTTACAGGAAGCATAGTGCTGGCATCTGCTCAGCTTCTAGGGAAGTCTTAGGAAGCTTACAATCATAGTGGAAGGCAAAGGGGGAGCAGGCACGTCACATGGCAAAAGCAGGAGAGAGAGAGAGAAGGTGCCACACACTTTTCAACACCCAGATCTTGTGAGAATTTACTATCTTGAGGACAGCACCAAGAGGATGCTAAATCATTCATGAGAAATCCACCCCCATGATCCAGTCACCTCCCACCAGGCTCTACCTCCAACTCTAGGGATTACATTTCAACAAGAGATTTGGGCGGGGGCAAATATCCAAACTCTGTCGTTCCCACATCATCTTATTCATAGTATTTATATTATACAGTGCAAAACTCCTCCTTAGAGAGTTAAAAAAAAAAAACACAAACCTCAATTCTACTTCTATATCACATGTTATTTTGTAAAGCCTTCCAGATTACTAAGGTTTTATTTTGCAGACTGATGGTAAAAAGGGAAACTGTCTATTATTCAGTGAGTGGTTCTGATCGTCTTCCTAAAGCTGAAGACAGCGTAGATTGTTAAGAATTGCTGGGACTAGAAAGCTAAATGGCAACAAACTCTTTTACAGTCATAGGATGAAATTAAATAAGAAAGGAGACCTTAGGGAAGAGAGGTGAGTCTTTGCATTTACCTAAATGGGTGAGAAAATGGTTCTTGACAAGGGAAATGAGATGGTGAAAGGGTATTAGAATGAAAAAAAATTAAAAAAGCAATTCTCACAGCTGTGGTTAAGATGGAAAAAGGGCCAGGGAAATGAAGAGAGAGGATGTTGCTGTGAATCTCCTGAATCAAGGGAAATAAAACTCTTGGAGAGGAAAAGAAAGGGAATAAAGTAAATAATGTCACAGCAACTTGGAAAAATAACAAGTAACAACAGAGGGTAAAGGCAGAAAGAAGAAAGGGAAATGAAAGAAAAGGCAGATGAGCATTTATATTTCGTTTTTTTGTTTTTGTTTTTGTTTTTGAGATGGAGTCTCGCTCTGTTGCCCAGGCTGGAGTGCAATGGCGCGATCTTGGCTCACTGCAACCCTGCCTCCCGGGTTCAAACTATTCTCATGTGTCAGCCTCCAGAGTAGCTGGGATTATAGGCGTCCGCCACCACGCCAGGCTACCTTTTGTATTTTTAGTAGAGACTGGGTTTCACCATGTTGGTCAGGTTGGTCTCGAACTCCTGACCTCAGGTGATCCACCTGCCTTGGCCTCCTGAAGTGCTGGGATTACAGGCGTGAGCCACCATGCCCGGCCTTTTATATTTCAAACTAGAAGTAATGAGAATTATTTAAGGGTAAGGCTAAATTTATTGAAATGAAAGTTACCCTGACATTTGTTCATTAATTCATATTAACATAATTCAATTAACTACTCAACAAGTATTATTTAGCCCCTATATATAAGGTACAATGTGCAAGGCACAATAAGGCAGTGTAATTGTGGTGGATAAGCAGACCCAGTCTCTGTTCTTGTGGTAGTTCTGGTTTTTTTAATTTTAAAAATTGTATAAATTTGTTTAAGTTCTATGTAGATTCTGGATATTAAACCTTTGTCAGATGGATAGATTGCAAAAGTTTTCTCCCATTCTGTAGGTTGCCTGTTTACTCTGATGATAGTTTCTTTTGCTATGCAGAAGCTCTTAGTTTAATTAGGTCCCATTTGTCAATTTTGGATTTTGTTGCAATTGCTTTTGGAGCCATCATTCTCAGCAAACTAACACAGGAGCAGAAAAGCAAATGTCCTCACCACATGTCCTCACTCATAAGTGGGAGTTGAGCAATGAGAACACATGGACACAGGTTGGGGAACATCACACACTGCAACCTGTCAGGGGTCAGGGGCAAGGAGAGGGAGAGCATTAGGACAAATACCTAATGCATGCGGGGCTTAAAACCTAGATAATGGGTTGATAGGTGCAGCAAACCACCATGGCAGATGCATACCTGTGTAACAAACCTGCAAGTTCTGCATATGTATCCCAAAACTTAAAGTAAAACAAAAAAAAAATGTATCTATATTTTTATTTAAAACTACTTAGTAGACAAATAAAGACTGAATATACTCAAGATGTACAGTGTAATGATTTCACATACATATACATTGTGCAATATTATAACAATCAAATTAACGTATTTTTCACCACCCATGTTGTATATTCAATCCTCAGAACTTGTTCATCTTGTAACTGAAAATTTGTACCCTTTTACCAACATCTCCCCATTTCTGCCACCCTCCAGCCTTTGTTCTATGCTTCTATGAGTTTGACCTCTTTAGATTTCACATATAAATTAGATTATAAAATATTTATATTTCTGTGTCTGGTTTATTTCACTTAGCACAATGTCATCCAGGTTTATCCATGTTGTTGCAAATGGCAGGGTAGTCTTTTTTGTGGCTAAATAATATTCCATTGTGTATGTATACCACAGTTTCTTTACCTGTTCATCAGCTAATAGACATTTAGGTTGATTCCATATCTTGACTATTGTGAGAAATGCTGCAATGAACACGTGCATGCAGATATCTCTTCAACATACTGATTTCACTTCCTTCAGATATATACCCAGCTGTGGGATTGCTAGGTCCTATGGTAGTAGTTCTATTTTAATTTTTTGAGAAACCTCTATACAATTCTCCATGATGGTTATACTAATTGACATCCCTACCAACCGTGTACGAGGATTCCCTTTGCTCTACATCCTTACCAACACTTGTTATCTTTTGTCTTTTTTACAATAGCCATTCTGACAGGTGTGAGGTGATAACTCACTATGGTTTGATTTTCATTTCCTTGATGATTAGTGATGTGGAGCACCTTTTCATATCCCTGTTGGCCCTAGGTATATCTTCTTTGGAAAAATGTCACATCTCTTGTGATAGTACTTTTAATATTATCAATAATAGTCTATAAAGTGTCAGAGTTCTCAAATGTTCAGACCCATCCCTTCCAAGGATGACTTTAACCTCACCTGCAAATCCTGCTCTGGCTAATCTCCACCTGCACATCTGGGTAATCTCCAGGTTCAATGGAGACCTTAAACATGAGGCATTTAAATAGGCCCTTTTCCAACATGCAGGTGACTCAGGATCAATACTGTTATCCTAAGAATGGTCCTAGAGTCATGCCTTAGTTCTCTGATAATTGAGTTTCTGCTCAGATTCAAAAACCCTTGTTCTGGAACTAAGTCATTTCCTGGATCCTCAACTCTGCATTCCCTTTCTACCTTATACTCTTCATCCCAGTTCTCCTTTCCCTTTCCTCATTACTGACAGGTATTCAAGTCACAGTACTAATACTTTGTGCAGCTTTGCCAATGGCAGACTGAACAGTTAAAACCCTCTAGCTCACTGCCTACCTGACAGGATCTCAGATGCCTACCTGACAGGATCTCAGATGCCTGTTTCTTTTAACTGTGGTTTCCCCATTGCCATTCTGCACGCTGCGAAGATATGCCTGTTGTCTGGCCACTCATTGCTGCAGGGAGGCAAGTCAGGAAAGTGAGTAGTTAGCTTTTTTTCTGTATCTGTAGTGCAGGCATTTAGGATTGAGTGTACTATCAACCACTAGTATCCTAATACAATTATATATCATAGTTCTGATTATGTCACTCTTCTGACCTCAAAACCTTGAGTCTTAATGGTTTTCATTTAGAATACAATAGAATCTAGATTCTTGCTTGACATTCAAATCCTCTTATCTGGCCTGTTTTCTAGCCTAATCTCCCATTAATTTTTCATTAATGCCCTTTCTAGACTATGCTTCACCAAACCAAATCAAACCATTTACTTCTTTTCTCTTCAAATCTTCTTTTTCTTTTTGCCTTTTCTTCCAGTAGCCTTTCCTCCGAATCCTTAGACACACTCAGTTTCCACACATCCAAATAGGATACCCCTTCGTATTTGAATGCTGCTTCTTCTATTAAGAAGTCTTTACTCTCCCTTAACTAAATGTAATTTCTCCCTTTTTCTGAATCCTGACAAAGTGTTATGTGTATAGTTTTTTCTTTTTTTTTTTTTTTTTTTTTTTTTGACAGAGTCTCACTCTGTTGCCCAGGCTGGAGTGCAGTGGCACAATATCGGCTCACTGCAACCTTTGCCTCCGGGGTTAAAATTATTCTCCTGCCTCAGCCTCCTGAGTAGCTGGGATTACAGGTTTGTGCCATCATGCCCAGCTAATTTTTGTATCTTTAGTAGAGATGGGGCTTCACCATGTTGGCCAGGCTGGTCTCAAACTCCTGACCTCAGGTGATCCTCCTGCCTCAGCCTCCCAAAGTGCTGGGATTACAGGCATGAGCCACCAAGTCTGGCACTTTTTATATAACACTTTACAATTAAAATAGAGGGGCATGGACTTTGGTCAGACAGATTACATAATTCAAATCCCAGCTTTACCACTGACAAACTATCTATCTTTGGCAAGTTACTCAATCACGCTAGTCTCATTTTCCTCATCTGTACAGCAGAGATAATTATGTCTTATCTCAACAGTGTGAGGACTGAAATAATATATGTAAGATGTCTAATGTGGTGCCTAGTCCATAGCAATCACTCAGTGAATATTAATTTCCTTCCTCCAGTTTCCTCTTTAAATTGTATTATAATTATTCATGAACACTTTTTTCCTTTCTCTCTTTTTTTTGCAGAGCTTTTTTTTATTGTTATACTTTAAGTTCTAGGGCACATGTGTACAATGTGCAGGTTTGTTACATAGGTATACATGTGCCATGTTAGTTTGATATACTCATCAACTTGTCATTTACATTAGGTATTTCTCCTAATGATATCCCTCCCCCAGGCCCCCACCCCACAACAGGCCCCGGTGTGTGATGTTCTCTGCCCTGTGTCCATGTGTTCTTGTTGTTCATCTCCCACCTACGAGTGAGAACATGTGGTGTTTGGTTTTCTGTCCTTGTGATAGTTTGCTGAGAATGATGGTTTCCAGCTTCATCCATGTGCCTGCAAAGGACATGAACTCATCCTTTTTTATGGCTGCATAGTATTCCATGGTATATATGTGCCACATTTTCTTAATCCAGTCTATCACTGATGGACATTTGTGTTGGGTCCAAGTCTTTGCTATTGTGAATAGTGCCGTAATAAACATACGTGTGCATGTGTCTTTATAGTAGCATGATTTATAATCCTTTGGGTATATACCCAGTAATGGGATTGCTGGGTCAAATGGTATTTCTAGTTCTAGATCCTTGAGGAATCGCCACACTGTCTTCCACAATGGTTGAACTAGTTTACAGTCCAACCAACAGTGTAAAAGCATTCCTATTTCTCTACATCCTCTCCAGAATCTGTTGTTTCCTGACTTTTTAATTATTGCCATTCTAACTGGTGTGAGATGGTATCTCATTGTGGTTTTGATTTGCATTTCTCTAATGACCAGTGATGATGACCATTTTTTCATATGTCTGTTGGCTGCATAAATGTCTTCTTTTGAGAAGTGTCTGTTCATATCCTTTGCCCACTTTTTGATGGGGTTGTTTGTTTTTTTCTTGCAAATTTGTGTAAGTTTTTTGTAGATTCTGGATATTAGCCCTTTGTCAGATGGATAGATTGCAAAGATTTTGTCCCATTCTTTAGGTTACCTGTTCACTCTGATGATAGTTTCTTTTGCTGTGCAGAAGCTCTTTAGTTTAATTAGATCCCATTTGTCAATTTTGGCTTTTGTTGCCATTGCTTTTGGTGTTTTAGTCATGAACTTTTTGCCCATGCCTATGTCCTCAATGGTATTGCTTAGGTTTTCTTCTAGCATTTTTATGATGTTAGGTCTTACATTTAAGTCTTTTATCCATCTTAAGTTAATTTTTGTATATGGTGTAAAGAAGGGATCCAGTTTCAGCTTTCAACATATGGCTAGCCAGTTTTCCCAGCACCATTTATTAAATAGGGAATCCTTTCCCCATTGCTTGTTTTTGTCAGGCTTGTCAAAGATCAGAGGGTTGTAGATGTGTGGTGTTATTTCTGAGGCCTCTGTTCTGTTCCATTGGTCTATATATCTGTTTTGGTACCAGTACCATGCTGTTTTGGTTACTGTAGCCTTGTAGTATAGTTTGAAGTCAGGTAGCATGTTGCCTCCAGCTTTGTTCTTTTTGCTTAGGATTGTCTTGGCTATGCAGGCCTTTTTTTATTCCATATGAAGTTTAAAGTAGTTTTTTCCAGTTCTGTGAAGAAAGTCATTGGTAGCCTGATGGGGATAGCATTGAATCTATAAATTACCTTGGGCAGGTTGGCCATTTTCATGATATTGATTCTTCCTATCCATGAGCATGGAATGTTTTTCCATTTGTTTGTGTCATCTTTTATTTCATTGAACAGTGGTTTGTAGTTCTCCTTGAAGAGGTCCTTCACATCCCTTGTAAGTTGGATTTCTAGGTATTTTATTCTCTTTGTAGCAATTGTGAATGGGAGTTCACTCATGATTTGGCTCTCTATTATTGGTGTATAGGAATGCTTGTGATTTTTGCACATTGATTTTGTATCCTGAGACTTTGCTGAAGTTGCTTATCAGCTTAAGGAAATTTGGGGCTGAGACGATGGGGTTTTCTAAATATACAACTTAGAAACATCTGCAGAGACAATTTGACTTCCTCTTTTCCTAATTCAAAACCCTTTATTTCTTTCTCTTGCCTGATTGCCCTGGACAGTACTTCCAACACTATGTTGATTGGGAATGGTGAGAGGGGGCATTCTTGTCTTGTGCCAGTTTTCAAAGGGAATGCTTCCAGTTTTTGCCCATTCAGTATGATATTGCCTGTGGGTTTGTCATAAATATCTCTTATTATTTTGAGATACATTCCATTAATACCTAGTTTATTGAGAGTTTTTAGCATGAAGGGCTGTTGAATTTTGTCTAAAGCCTTTTCTGCATCAATTGAGATAATCATGTGGTTTTTGTCATTGGTTCTGTTTACTTGATGGATTATGTGTATTGATTTGTGTATGTTGAACAAGCCTTGCATCCCAGGAATGAAGCTGACTTGATCATGGTGGATAAGCTTTTTGAGGTGCTGCTAAATTCTGTTTGCCAGTATTTTATTAAAGATTTTTGCATTGATGTTCATCAGGTATATTGGCCTAAAATTCTCTTTTTTTGTTGTGTCTCTACCAGGCTTTGGTATCAGGATGATGCTAGCCTCATAAAATGAGTTAGGGAGGATTCCCTCTTTTTCTATTGATTGAAATAGTTTCAGAAGGAATGGCACCAGCTCCTCTTTGTACCTCTGGTAGAATTCGGCTGTGAATTCGTCTGGTCTTGGACTTTTTTTGGTTGGTAGGCTATTAATTATTGTCTCAATTTCAGAGCCTGTTATTGGTCTATTCAGAGATTCAGCTTCTTCCTGGTTTAGTTTTGGGAGGTTGTAAGTATCCAGGAATTTATCCATTTCTTCTAGATTTTCTAGTTTATTTGCATAGAGGTGTTTATAGTATTCTCTGATGGTAGTTTGTATTTCTGTGGGATCAGTTGTGATATCCCCTTTATCATTTTTTATTGCATCTATTTGATTCTTCTCTCTTTTCTTCTTTATTAGTCTTGCTAGTGGTCTATTTTGTTGATCTTTTCAAAAAAACAGCTCCTGGATTCATTGATTTATTTGAAGGGTTTTTTGTGTCTCTATCTCCTTCAGTTCTGCTCTGATCTTAGTTATTTCTTGCCTTCTGGTAGCCTTTGAATTTGTTTGCTCTTGTTTCTCTAGTTCTTTTAATTGTGATGTTAGGGTGTCAATTTTAGGTTTTTCCTGCTTTCTCTTGTGGGCATTTGGTGCTATAAATTTCCCTCTACACACTGCTTTAAATGTGTCCCAGTGATTCTGGTACATCGTGTCTTTGTTCTCATTGGTTTCAAAGAACATCTTTATTTCTGCCTTCATTTCGTTGTTTACCCAGTAGTCATTCAGGAGCAGGTTGTTCAGTTTCCATGTAGTTCTGTGGTTTTGAGTGAGTTTCTTAATCCTGAGTTCTAATTTGATTGCACTGTGGTCTGAGAGACAGCTTGTTGTGATTTCTGTTCTTTTACATTTGCTGAGGAGTGTTTTAGTATCAATTATGTGGTTAATTTTGGAATAAGTACGATGTGGTGCTGAGAAGAATGCATATTCTGTTGATTTGGGTTGTAGAGTTCTGTAGATGTCTTTCTATTAGGTCTACTTGATCCAGAGCTGAGTTCACGTCCTGGGTATCCTTGTTAACCTTCTGTCTTGTTGATCTGTCTAATATTGACAGTGGGGTGTTAAAATCTCCCATTATCATTGTGTGGGAGTCTAAGTCTCTTTGTAGGTCTCTAAGGATGTGCTTTATGAATCTGGGTGCTCCTCTATTGGGTGCATATATGTTTAGGATAGTTAGCTCTTCATGTTGCATTAATCCCTTTACCATTATGTAATGGCCTTGTCTCTTTTGATCTTTGTTGTTTTAAAGTCTGTCTTATCAGAGACCAGGATTGCAACCCCTCCTTTTTTTTTTTTTTTTTTTTTCCCATTTGCTTGGTAGATCTTCCTCCATCCCTTTATTTTGAGCCTATGTGTCTTTGCATGTGAGATGGGTCTCATGAATACAGCACACCGATGGGTCCTGACTCTTTATCCAATTTGCCAGTCTGTGTCTTTTAATTAGGGCATTTAGCCCATTTACATTTAAGGTTAATATTTTTATGTGTGAATTTGATCTTGTCATTATGATGTTAGCTGGTTATTTTGCCCGTTAGTTGATGCAGTTTCTTCCTAGCATCGATGGTCTTTACAGTTTGTCGTGTTTTTGCAGTGGCTGGTACCGGTTGTTCCTTTCCATATTTAGTGCTTCCTTCAGGAGCTTTTGTAAGGCAGGCCTGGTGGTGACAAAATCTCTCAGCATTTCCTTGTTTGTAAGGGATTTTATTTCTCCTTCACTTATGAAGCTTATTTTGGCTGGACATGAGATTCTGGGTTGAAAATTCTTTTCTTTAAGAATGTTGAATATTGGCCCCCACTCTCTTCTGGCTTATAGGGTTTCTGCCGAGAGATCCACTGTTAGTCTGATGGGCTTCCCTTTGTGGGTAACCTGACCTTTCTCTCTGGCTGCCCTTAACATTTTTTCGTTCATTTCAACCTTGGTGAATCTGACAATTAGGTGTCTTGGAGTTGCTCTTCTCGAGGAGTTTCTTTGTGGTGTTCAATTATTTCCTGAATTTGAATGTTGGCCTGCCTTGCTAGGTTGGGGAGGTTCTCCTGAATAACATCCTGAAGAGTGTTTTCTAATTTGGTTCCATTCTCCCCGTCACTTTCTGGTACACCAATCAAATACATATTTGGTCTTTTCACATAGTCCCATATTTCCTGGAGGCTTTGTTCATTTCTTTTCACTCTTTTTTCTCTAATCTTGTCTTCTCACTTTATTTCATTAATTTGATCTTCAATCACTGATATCCTTTCTTCCACTTGATTGAATCGACTATTGAAGCTTGTGCACGTGTCACGAAGTTCTTGTGCCATGGTTTTCAGCTCCATCAGGTCATTTAAGCTCTTCTCTACACTGGTTATTCTAGTTAGCCATTCATCTAACCTTTTGTCAAGGTTTTTAGCTTCCTTGTAACGGGTTAAAATATGCTCCTTCAGCTCGGAGAAGTTTGTTATTACCAACCTTCTGAAGCCTACTTCTGTTAACTCGTCAAACTCATTCTCCATCCAGTTTTGTTGCCTTGTTGGTGACCAGCTGTGATCCTTTGGAGGAGAAGAGGCACTCTGTTTTTTTGAATTTTCAGCTTTTCTGCTCTGGTTTCTTCCCATCTTTGTGGTTTTATCTACCTTTGGTCTTTGATGTTGGTGACCTAGAGATGAGGTTTTGGTGTGGATGTCCTTTTTGTTGATGTTGATGCTATTCCTTTCTGTTTGTTAGTTTTCCTTCTAACAGGCCCCTCAGCTGCAGGTCTGTTGGAGTTTGCTGGAGGTCCACTCCAGACCCTGTTTGCCTGGGTATCACTAGCGGAGGCTGCAGAACAGCAAATATTGCTGCCTGATCCTTCCTCTGGAAGCTTTGTCCCAGAGGGGCACCCGCCTGTATGAGGTGTCTGTCGGCCCCTACTGGGAGATATTTCCCAGTCAGGTACACGGGGGTCAGGGACCCGCTTGAGGCAGCAGTCTGTCCCTTCTCAGAGCTTGAACGTCGTTCTGAGAGAACCACTGCTCTCTTCAGAGCTGTCAGACAGGGACATTTAAGTCTGTAGAAGCTGTCTGCTGCCTTTTGTTCTCCTATGCCCTGCCCACAGAGGTAGAATCTATAGAGGCAGTAGGCCTTGCTGACCGCAGTGGGCTCTGCCCATTTGGTGCTTCCCAGCCACTTTGTTTACACTGTGAGCTACTCAAGCCTCAGCAATGGTGGACGCCCCTCCCCCCATCAAGCTGCAGCCTCGCAGGTCAATCTCAGACTTCTGCGCTAGCAGTGAGCAAGGCTCCATGGGCATGGGACCCACTGCACCAGGCACGGGAGAGTATCTTCTGTTCTGCCAGTTGTTAAGACTGTGGGAAAAGTACACTATTTGGTCAGGAATGTACCGTTTCTCCAGGTGCAGTCTGTCACGGCTTCCCTTGGCTAGGAAAGGGAAATCCCCCGACCCCTTGAGTTTCCTGGATGAGGCGATGCCCCTCCCTGCTTCAGGTAGCCCTCTGTGGGCTGCACCCACTGCCCAACCAGTCCCAGTGAGATGAACCAGGTACCTCAGTTGGAAATGCAGAAATCATCTGTCTTCTGTGTCAATCTTGCTGGGAGTTGCAGACCAGAGCTGTTCCTATTTGGCCATCTTGGAAGCGACCTCCCCTCTGCCTCTTTTCTCTCTTTCGTGATAGATTTTCTGATCTTCAAAGGCAGGATCTATGCTTTCTTTCACTGTTAGTATCCCCCACAACACCTAATTTCTTGTTTTTTTTTTTTTGAGATGGAGTTTCACTCTTACTGCCCAGGCTGGAGTGCAATGGCACAATCTTGGCTCACTGCAACCTCTGCCTCCCGGGTTCAAGCAGTTCTCCTGCCTCAGCCTCTGGAGTAGCTGGGATTACAGGAACCTACCACCACGCCCAGCTAATTTTTGTATTTTTAGTAGAGATGGGGTTTCATGATGTTGGCCAGGCTAGTCTCAAACTCCTGACCTCAGGTGATCCACCCTCCTCAGCCTCCCAAAGTGCTGGGATTACAGGCGTGAGTCACCGCACCCAGCTTACCTAATTTATTTTCTTGCACATGGTGGAAGTTTAACAACTATTATTGAGTTGTAAATGGTACATATGAGTGCTTTAGGAAAAGGAGGTTGAGGGAAAGAGAAAACTATTAGCTTTTTAGAATTGGAAGTGCCCTAGCCCATTGTGGATGAATGGATAAAGAAAATGTGGTATGTTTACACAACCGAATACTATTCAGCCTTAAAAAGAGAAGGAAATCCTGTCATTTGCAACAACATGGATGAACCTGGAAGACATTATGCTAAGTGAAATAAGCCAGGCACAGAAAGATAAATACCTCGTGTTCTCATGCGTATGTGGAATCAAAAAATGTTGATCTTACAGAAGCAGAGGGTAGAATGGCAGTTATCAGCAGATGGCAGGGTTTGGGGTGGGAGTGTGGGATGATGTTGTTCAAAGGATACAAAATTCCAGCTAGGAGGAATAAGTTTAAGAAATCTATGGTACAACATGGTGACTACAGTTAATAACAATATACTGTATTCTTGGAAAATGCTAAGATTGGATGTTAAGTGTTCTCACCACAACATGATAACCATGTCAGGTAATGCATATGTTATTTAGCTAGACTTGGTCATTCTACAATGTATATATACTTCTGAACATCATGTTGTACATGAAAAATGCATATAATTTTTATTTCATTTAGCCTTGACTTGAGACTCAGAATACATATAATTTTCTCTGTCAATTAAAAATAGAATAATAAGAACAAAAAAAAAACAAAACAAACAAAATATAATGACCTAGTCAGTAATATCATGTGTCATAAATAGTGCCATTTAAATGACATCTCTGAGGTTCCTAAGCCCTGAGATTTTACTGAACACTTAGCAGTTTCAATAACTTGCGTCCACATGGTTTGGAGTGTGGATACCTTTGTTTCCTTCATTATGGTAGTTTATTTACATTGATATTTAATCTTTGGTGAAAATAAACAGTACTAACCCAGGGCCATACTTATGTTATGTTATTTTATTTTGTAACAATTTATTTGTGGGGTCTGAGGCTTGGCTTTCTTGGGACTATCATAGAAAATAGTTCATGGTGGTTGTGTATAACCACACATTCCTTAGATATCAATATTCTTCCACTAATAAAGACTTTTATACAAATTGTAGAAGCTAGTTATATTTTAAAACTTTCTCAGGATTCTATCCTGTATTCTTTACAAAGATCTATTGACCATGACTTTGGCCCAAATAACCCCATCAGTATCTTCAACAGAGGATAGTGAAATAGTAGGACATTGTATTAATGGCCTTCAACACTAAGACCATTTCTTTCGCATAAAATTGTTAGTTTCAAAGCCTCATAACTCTCTTTTGGAGTTTCATGAACATAAAGGAGATATAATTGCCTTAGGAATTTGGAGGAGTAAAGTGTTATGCGTGTTGTAATTCTGTATTACTCAGTGAGAAAAAAATGTGAGAGAAACCACAAGCAAGTACCATCGGACAACTGCACACAGGGGCTTGAGGCTGCCATTTGTACTTTTTCAGATGCTCTTGAAAAGAAGTGGAGGATGTCACTTTGCCTTTTCCCCCAAATCTTTCTTTGCTTCCTTCTGTGTGTGTGTTCTAATTATTAATTTCATTTCACAGTATTTTACTAAAATTTACAAAACTCAAGCTGTGTGTGCCTTAAAAAGGAATTATTCCTGAATAAAATATTATATTTTGGGGCAGTATTTAACTTTCTATTCATATGTTTTTAATTATATACTAAGCTCTTTCTAACCTAACACTTTAGAAATTCCCATATTTCATGTGTGTGTTCCAATCCAGCCTTTTTCAGATCATATAGCCTGACTTGGGGGCGGGGAGTGGAAGTAAATATACATTCTCCAAGAAATTCAAAAAGCGTGTGCCTTTGCATGCATATGTGTGCATGTGTGTGCAGAAAGTATTTTGCTCACTACACAACAGAACTGTCATATTAAACTAAGAATGTAGTCTATCCTAAAGAAATCATGCTAGACTTGCAAAGTATTATCATTTTCTGTTATATTATTTTATGTGGTGGTTGCATTATAAAGAGAATGATAATAAAAGTCTTAATATATTAGAATTTTTGATGTTTTATGAAGCAGATGGTTAATATGATATGAAAAACTCCATTGTACTCCAGATAGTTTATGTCTTTAAGAGTACACATGGTATAACGGCTTATTTATTTTACTATAATCCATATTTCATTGTTTTTAACATGATCATTTGTGTATTTAAATGGTGTAGTATCATCTCAGAGTTTAATTTTATCTTAGAATTTTTCTCACTGAAATTAGCTGAAGAATTTCTATTGCCTACTTTATGCTATGTTTTCTAATATATTCCTCTCAATTCTGCCTGAATAAAGGTAAATAACACGTAGCATTTCATGAATAATTAACTTAGTCCAACAATGTTTTGCATCTGTGGAAGCTGTTATCACTCCCTGAATTTACTCATTACTGCATCTTTATACAATACTGAGCTATAGAAAATGCACAATAAATTTCTGTTAAATAAATGTACATATTTAATCATTCAGATTTAATGATAATTTTATATGCATTTGATGATGAAATTCTGAGCCTACTGAAAATATCAGCTTTTAGCAGTCTGGTTGTACAATAGCAAATGAAACACATACAGGGTGAAGGGTATGGGCTCCAGGGGTAGGTACCTGGGTTTAAGTTGTGGCCTACCACTTATGAGCTGTATGACTTTGGACAAGTTAACTTTTTTCCTTCAGTTTTTCAATGTAAAATGAAAATAGCTGGTTTAACTTAATATGTGACCTAATGAAGCACTTAAAACAGTGTACTGGCACACATATATAACTGTTATTAGTAAAGGCATATTTATGCACATGTAAACACCCACATATATACCTTCTCACATAAGCACTCATACTGAGATAGAGCCATAATGACTTGATATTGCCCTTAGAGGTGGTACTTTACTTGCTGGATAAACACTTAATATAATAATAACCTCAAAGTAGATAGATTTTTTGGGATAAATAATTCAATATTAAAGTTAAGAAATAATGGAGCAACTATCACTGTTAGATATGGTTATAGCATAAGACCCTCTATGTAAATAAACATTTATGTGCACACGGTATGTATAATTTTCTTTAAAGAGAGCAAAGTTTTAGTTCAAAATGTTCTTCAGTGAAGTAAGATTAATTCACTTTGAAATATTTCAGACTTTAAAAATTTTACTTTTAAATTTTGTGATGTATATTATTTCTGTAGATATAATTTCACATATATATTTTTATCGATTCTTTTGAGATATATATATATATATATATATATATATATATATTTTTTTTTTTTTTTTTTTTTTTTTTTTGAGATGGAGTTTTGCTCTTGTTGCCCAGGCTGGAGTGCAATGGTGTGATCTCAGCTCACTGCAACCTCTGCCTCCCGGATTCAAGCGATTCTCCTGTCTCAGCCTTCTGAGTAGCTGAGATTACAGCCCCGCCACTATACCTGGCTAATTTTTGGTATTTTTAGTAGAGACGGGGTTTTACCATGTTGTGCAGGCTGGTCTCAAACTCCTGACCCCAAGTGATCCACCTGCCTTGGCATCCCAAAGTGTTGGCATTACGGGAGTAAGCCACTGCGCCCGGCGTATTTGGTAATTTTTATATCCTAGCCAAAATTCTTGATAGGCTAATTTTATTTTCTCTCTAAGCATCTTCAGACATTTCAACTGATATCACATTTTAAATATATACTTATTTTTTGGATAGTAGAGAGATTAAAATGGGGAATGCTATATGATAGTAGTTAGAAAAACAGTTCCAGAAACATGTTGTTCTGTTTTCTCTCTTTTGGGTAGGGCATGCTTAAATCTGGTTAGCACAGTGAGTGTAGCAGAGTCTAATCTTTCACCAAGTTAATGTTAGCCTATACACTTTAAGGTTTGTATTTTGTCTCTCCAAATGATCAGTATATCCAGTGCTAATTATTGGAACTCTTAAATCAGGCAGAATTGATCATAGTAATTCAAAATTAGTAAATTTTATTTTAATAAAAAATACGCAGAATTGAAGACAAGTCAAAGCTGATGTATCCTTAATTGATATAGTCAAGTAAATATCATCAATTATCATTTTGCTTAGAAGAGTTATAGCACACCTTCCTTGAAACTTCTTACGTGGCAACCTAAGCTATGGGGCTACTTGAAAAAAAATAAACATAGTAGAATTTTTCATTTGTGAAGGAAACATTACTACTTGCAATAAGCTCAGCACCACCATTGACATTTGTGCACACTGTGCACTGCACAAAGCAGCTCAGCCAAGGGGCAGGCACAGTTTGAAATCCAGCTTCTGCTCCACTTGCCTAGCTGGGAGCCTGGCAGCGAGCTTCATCTGGATGGAAGCCTCCTCTAACTGATCCAGTCCCAATTTGGGCCAGCAGGACCCTGAATAAAGTGCATGCAGTTTACTCAGAAGAAAACTACCAAGTCTTTGTGGTGAACATAATGATCTGAGATGAGAATAGGACATCCAGGAGCAGATGTAGAGTGGTCAGTAGGCAGAGTCCTGGAGAGAGGCCACAGTGGGATAGAGTGGACAAGTAGTAGCTGACACTGTGGAAATAAAGGGGATCCCCAGAGAGTGTGTAGAGGGGAAGAAAAGACAGAAATGAGGGTAGGGTTAATTATGAATTGCAGAAGACGGAAAGGTCCAGGGAAGGAAATTGAGAAAGCCCCATTAGTCGAAGACCCAGAGGAAAAGTGTTGCCAGTGAAGCTAAGGGAGAAATGGTGAGCATGTGAAATGTTACTGGGTTTGCAAGTAGAAAGTTATTCAGTAACTTCAGTAGCCTGGTGGTTTTCAGTGCAGCATTTGCCATGGTTTCAGGAGTGACTCGTTATTGAAAATGTGGGGGGAGTAAAAACAGAATAATTCTTTTTAAAACTTTGAAGTCACAGGGAGGAGGGAAACAGGAGCCAAAAATGTATGCCTGTGTTTGAGATATGAGAAAAACATTTCATTGAATACTGTTCATTTCCTCTCCAGGAGACTGTGCAAAGTTTTTATTCTTTCTTCTATTAACTCTCCTGACTTAGTGTCATGAGTCGACACATGAGAAATTGTAGTCACCCCAAAAGGCACAATTTCTAGTTGAACTCTATCCTCATAAGCACTCATTGGAAGCATGTTGGATACACAGATATCTGTGTCTTTTTTATTGCTATCAGGCTATTCAGAAAATACTAATTTTGGTCCCGATGTATTGTTAAAGGCCTTTGTTGCAGAAAATATGCTAATGTATTTATTGGATATTTACCATGTATAAGGCACAAAGCTACACATTTGAGAGAAAGGGAGTGGAAGTAATATTTACAGAAAAACCTGCATTCTTTTAATTACTTTCTACAACTTGCATATGAGGTAATTATTCTTTGCTCTAGGTTACAGATGTGGAAACTGAGGCTCAGAGAGGTTAAGTCATTTGCCAAAGGTCACGTGGTAGTATATATTAAAGCCTCCAAAGTCGGTGTTTGTTATGTTTCCCCATGTACCTCTTTTCCTACCCTCAAGGGCCCTGGTATGTTATTAAGAAACAAATCTTATTCCCAGCAGGGTGAGCTAAGTTTCATAAAAGTGACACAAGTGTTTTAGGAGTTCAGAAATAAGGAAAGGACATATTCAAAGGATAGTCTGGTAATGCTTTGGGGAGCGAGATCATGGAGATGAGTCATCAATGATTGCTATAGAGATTGTGAGCTTATGGGGGAGGTGGAGATGGGACTGTACTGCAAAAACAAAATTTTCTTCCAGAAACTCAAAAGTCTATGGTTTTTTTTTGTTTTTGTTTTTCCAAGTAGCTTCATAGCTCAGGCTTCCAGGTAAGACGTTTAAGAAAGGTATGCACGGCCGGGCGCGGTGGCTCACCTGTGTAATCCCAGCACTTTGGGACGCAGAGGCGGGTGGATCACGAGGTCAGGAGTTCAAGATCAGCCTGGCCAAGATGGTGAAACCCCGTCTCTACTAAAAATACAAAAAATTAGCCAGGCATGGTGGTGGGCATCTGTAATCCCGGCTACCCGGCAGGCTGAGGCAGAGAATTGCCTGAACCCGGGAGGCGGAGGTTGCAGTGAGCAGAGATCATGCCACTGCACTCCAGCCTGGGCGACAGAGCGAGACTCCATCTCAAAAAAAAAAAGAAAAAGAAAAAAAAAGAAAGGTATGCTGTAACTATTCCAAGCAAAATGACAATTGATAATGTTTATTCAGGAGAAAGAAGGACGTAAGTAAAGATAGAGAGAGTGAGAAGACAGAGGGTCATTTTGAGAATAGATGGTATTGAAGACAGGCTGGAGGAGAGGCTCCTTGTGGAGAATTGGGGAAGATAAGGCAGAAAAGGAAAATTAGGAGCAGGTTATAGAAGGCTTTGGACACAGGTAGAAGTTAATGCTTTATTTGGCATGAATGGGAAGAGCATTGTAAAATAAATTTTTAAATTATATAACTACTATGGGAATGTTCAAAGATTCTCAAAAGGAGGAGAAAATAGTATCATAAATTGACCTAGACCTATCACCCAGCCTCAAGAAACATCAATTGCTAATCTTACTTTTATGAATCCCTTTCCTCTCATTTATTTTGTTTTGTTTAGTTTTTGCTGGTATATTTTAAAGCAAAGCTTAGATATTATGTTGTTATATTTACAAATACTGAAATATGAATCTCTAACTGATAGAGGCTTTGGAAAACATAACCACCATTTTATCATCAACCCTAATAAAATTACCAGTAATTTCTTAATATCAACACTCAGTCCATATTTAAATTTCACCAATTGTCTCAAAAATGTCTTTTTACAGATGTTTTGTTAGAACCAAGACCCAAAGCCTGCACTTGGCATTTAATTATTAAAACTCTTCAGTCTTTCTTATTCTATAGTGGTCTTCCTTCCCCTTATTGTTTCATGAAATCAGTTTTTCTAGGACATTTATTATATATTTAGAGTGTCCCACATTCTGGATTTGTCTAATTACTTCCTTTTGGTATTATTTAACTTGTTCCCCTATGTTCTCTGTTTTATTTAAACTACAGGTTACATTCAGAAGATTGAGTAGGTTTGGCTCAATTTTTAGGAAAACCTGTAATAAATGTATAGTACAATTCTTAGTTCATTATATCAAGAAGTACACAAAGTTTGGTTGATCAGGAGGTCAAGGTATGTTGACCTGATACCCAGCAACCTTTCACCAAATACATCTATTGAAGATTGTTGTCTATGGCAACTTTTTCATTGTAGATTACAAAATGGGCCCCTGAAGTTCTTTGAGCTGAGGAATGATATGCTCAGCAATGTGCTTTAGAAAAATTAATCTGACAAAAGTATGTAGGATGGAGTAGAAGAGGTAAGGCCAACAGAGGCTTGTAGATTATTCCAGTTATCCAGGAATAAGGGTGCAACAAACATGAAAAGATGGCCATAGATTCAAGGGATTTTGTGGAAAATGAAATCTATAGGACTTGGCAATAGATTAAGTTAAGTGAATCAAATATAATACTCAGCTTTTAGGCTTGGAGGAGCAGTACTGTGTTTAACAAAAATAGGAAAAATAGGAAAGTCAAGAATCATGAATGGCTTGCAACAGAAATTGAGAAATTTGGTTTGAGAATGTTGAATTTGAGCTGATGATAGTATATGTTGGCTTATACATCTGGTGACCACTTGAGAATGCAGGATTGCAGCTTGAAAAAGAATTTAGGACATAAGTCAGGTAATAGTTATAGCCTTAAGGGTATATATTTCATAGCTAATGAGGGAAGTAGAGTAAAAAACAAAAAAGGTTTAGACACAAACTTGGGCAATCTGAATGTTTACAGGTTTTGTCAACCCCATCTTCCCAAAACTCCAGTTTATTTGGTTTTAGTTTCACCAGAGATAACTCCTCTCTTATGCCTTGAGGACTGGCTCAGCAGTTTTCCTTCCCATAGTTTAGCTTTCTGCTTCCTAATGGAAAGAAATGTCCCCAAGATCAGTATGTATTTCAACTCATGTTTATTTTTCCCAAAACAGACCGTAAAAATATGACGTCTATTCTGCTACCTCCCCTTCTGTCCTGCAATTCAACTTCCTTTCTATGCCCAATCTACTTAGGGAGACAGTGAGGAAGAAGACAAGACATTAAAATGAGGGAGTAATGGGCAAAGGCAGCTTTGCTTCCCCTTGTCTTTAGGAGAGGGTGAAAGAACATGTTCGAAGAGCATGGAGGAGAATCCAAGGTAATGGGAATGATTGAAGAGACAAGTGAGAAAAAGAGTAACTGGGGCAAGGCTGGGAGGAAGCACAGAAGTGGGTAGGTACAGTGTTCTTCACTCCACAGAGAGAAGGATGAAGGTACAGAAGACTCTGAAGATTGGGAGTGTGGTAGTTGTAGAAGCTCATATTAAAAGCCTTTGATGATCTTAGGCATCAACTGAAAAGGAGGGAGATCCAATATACATTGGAAGAAGGAGAATGGTAGACAAGCCCTGAGAGTCAGACTCTCCTAGCCTCATCTGAGAGTCATTTTTTAATTCCTTCTGAGTATCTCTTTAGACTCCAAGGAACATCTTACCCTTATCCTGTGTTGTGCTTAGGGGCCCTTCATAAAACCTATATTGCTCTACATACTGAGAGGTGACAGCATGCTGGCAGTCCTCACAGCCGTCGCTGGCTCTTGGCGCTTCCTCTGCCTGGGCTCCCACTTTGGCGGCACTTGAGGAGCCCTTCAGCCCGCCGCTGCACTATGGGAGCCCCTTTCTGGGCTGGCCAAGGCCGGAGCCGGCTCCCTCAGCTTGTGGGGAGGTGTGGAGGGAGAGGCGCGGGCAGGAACAGGGGCTGCGCGCGGTGCTTGCGGGCCAGCGGGAGTTCCGGGTGGGCGTGGGCTCAGCGAACCCCGCACTTCGGAGCGGCCGGCTGGCCCCACCTGCCGCGGGCAGTGAGGGGCTTAGCACCTGGGCCAGCAGCTGCTGTGCTCAATTTCTCGCTGGGCCTTAGCTGCCTTCCCGCGGGGCAGGGCTCGGGACCTGCAGCCCGCCATGCGTGAGCCTCCCTCCCGCCCCCCTCATGGTCTCCTGTGCGGCGGGAGCCTCCCCAATGAGCGCCGCCCCCGCTCTAGGGCGCCCAGTCCCATCAACCACCCAAGGGCTGAGGAGTGCAGGCGCACTGTGGGGGACTGGCAGGCAGCTCCACCTGCAGCCCCTGTGCGGGATCCACTGGGTGAAGCCAGCTGGGCTCCTGAGTCTGGTGGGTAGGTGGAGAACCTTTGTGTCTAGCTCAAGGATTGTAAATACACCAATTGGCACTCTGTATCTACCTCAAGGTTTGTAAACACACCAATCAGCACCCTGTGTCTAGGTCAGGGTTTGTGAATGCACCAATCAACACTCTGTATCTAGCTACTCTGGTGGGGACTTGAAGAACCTTTGTGTGGACAGTCTGTATCTAGCTAATCTGGTGCGGCCTTGGAGAACCTTTGTGTCTAGCTCAGGGATTGTAAAGGCACCAATCAGCGCCCTGTCAAAACAGACCACTCCGCTCTACCAATCAGCAGGATGTGGGTGGGGCCAGATAAGAGAATAAAAGCAGGCTGCCCGAGTCAGCAGTGGCAACCCGCTTGGGTCCCCTTCCACACTGTGGAAGCTTTGTTCTTTTGCTCTTTGCAATAAATCCTGCTGCTGCTCACTCTTCGGGTCCACACTGCCATTATGAGCTGCAACACTCACTGCGAAGGTCTGCAGCTTCACTCCTGAAGCCAGCGAGACCACGAACCCACAGGGAGGAACGAGCAACTCCAGACGCACCGCCTTAAGAGCTGTAACACTCACTGCGAAGGTCCGCAGCTTCACTCCTGAGCCAGCGAGACCATGAACCCACCAGAAGGAAGAAACTCCAAACACATCCGAACAAACTCCAGATGCGCCACCTTAAGAGCTGTAACACTCACTGCGAGGGTCCGCGGCTTCATTCTTGAAGTCAGTGAGACCAAGAACCCACCAATTCTGGACACAATACTACTGCAAATGAAGCAAAGAATCCAACTGACCGGCAAACAATGTTTCTTAAGTAGCCCGGGTAAAATTATGTTGGGACAATATATTAGGAAACATGCTGAAATCGATAATTATAGATTAAACCCAAGGTATAAACATGAACGTATCTCTGAATACATTTGAATCGTGTTGAGGACAGTAAGAGCATTTTAGGGTAGATTGCACCATTAGCTGTAAAATCACAGGGCTACTAGGGCATTAAAAGAGCAAGTTGATACTTTCTTTCGACAAAAGGAATGTTTAGGATTCCAAGTCTTTCACCATGGAGTTCATTTTATTTGACCTCTTAAAAATAAGTTAAAAAAAAATCAAAGTTAAACAAAGAAGTTTTAGCAATTTCTTAAAACATGTGAGGCAAGGAATGATGCTAGGTAGAAGGGTTCCCTTCGTTTTGATTGGCAGGAGCGGTAATTTGACTGTATTTAATTTGTATTGTGTTAGAAAAGAAAACCAGAGAGAGCGTCCCTGATTCCTGCTGTTTTATAAGCCTTTAACTCCATTGAGCTACATCAGTCTTACTTTTGAGAGTCCTTTTTTAATGTTTGGTTTTTCTAAATGTTCTTTAGTGCTAGACCCACTAATTGCTTCCTTATGGCAGCTGCTTTTGATTTAAGACTGATCATGGGCACATATAGTCCCTTGTTCAGGGCTCAGATGGACATCACAAAAAACCTTATAGTTATGATCTTACTGTGGAAAATGCCCAGAAAATAATAGCCATAAAAATTTGTTTTCTAGTAAGTGAGGCTGGTTTTGATATTTTAAAAGTTTCTGTTTATACCCACCCCCTCTGCTTGGTCTCTTTTAATCTTCAGTACACACTGAAAGGTGTAAAGTCTGAAGCTATAAATCTGTTTATAGCTATAATTCCCTTCCCTGGCTTAGCAGAGTTTGACACTATAATAAACACGGTTCTTCTGCAGCAACATTGAATCTGGTTCTTCTATAATGCTTTATATGTTGCTGTTTTGAACACAGAGTTTTATTGCATTCTTTTCTTTCTGGGCCTTTCAATTCAGCAAGAACTGGTTGGGCACCTACTCTATGCTACGGGTGACTAGGTGGTTCTAGGGCCTGACGTTTAGTCTATTTTAATCATAAAAGTAATGTGGTTAAAACTACGACCAAGTTTATTTGTTTTGTTTGGTAATAGTTCCTTAACGATAGAGGTAGACTATATTAGACCTTCCTATTCTCGAAATATTTCCACCGTCCCCCCAGGACATTTCCCAAGGCATTTTCTTTTGGTTTAGGAAATCAATTGTATTTCTTTTTTGTTTTGTTTGTGTGTGTGTGTTTTTTGAGACAGAGTCTCACTCTGTTGCCCAGGCTGGAGTGCAGTGGCACGATCTCAGCTCACTGCAAGCTCCGCCTCTTCGGTTCAAGCGATTCTCCTGCCTCAGCCTCCTGAGTAGCTGGGATTACAGGCGCATGCCACCACGCCTGGCTAATTTTTGTATTTTTAGTAGAGACGAGGTTTCACCATGTTGGTCAGGCTGGTCTCGAACTCCTGACCTTGTGATCTGCCTGCCTCAGCCTCCTAAAGTGCTGCATGAGCCACCGTGCCTAGCCAGGAAGTTGATTGTATTTCTTTATCCTCAAGTCAAGTATCTGAAAAATAAATTTTATTTTATGTTTATGATAATTAAAATATTAAGTGTGTACTTGATAATTACTATTATATTATTGGTAGGGCAGGCATTTTATAAATTGCTTCATGTATAATATTTTATTTTAGCCAAACAGTGGGCATTATTTTCCCCATTTTAAGATTAAGAAATTGCGGAACAAGGAGATTAATTAACCATTTAAAGATCACACAGGTGATTGTAGCCAGGATTTCAATCTGCATCGGTTTGACTCCAAAACTTGAGCTCTTAACCGCCAAGATATGTTATTTCATGTACTGCATTTTAAAGTAACTCTCAAATTCTACTTTCACTTTTTTTTAACTTTTTTACTGAAGCATTTAAAAAGATATTAAACACAAGTATCCACACACACAATTTATCTATACTTACATACGGGAACTCCTATGATTTTACATCAGTTTTTTCAGAAAAAGTTATTTTAACTTTAAAATTTTCACATTTGTAGTTCGTTATTTGCAAAGTTGAAAGTCTATAAAACAACTTAGTGGTTTGAAGAAGAAATGTCTCTAAAAAATGTGTGCCAGTAAAACAGAAAACTATGTATGAGTTTAAGGTGAAAGTAAATACTCGAAAGAACACATGTTCACATTCTAGTTGGAGGTAAACCTGTACTACATAAAACACTTTTTTTCAGAAGTAGGGTGGATGTATCCTCACCTAAATACCTAGGATCCCTATTTTTCAAGTAAAACACTAGATTTTCAATTGTTAATACTATTTGCAATGTGGTTTTCTGCAGTTTTAGAGACCTGTTAAGAAACTGTGGTACCAAATTCAGTTTCCTTGTAAGTGTGGGGATTGAGTATGTGTGTCATTGGCACTATGAGTCAAGTTCATCATGCAATTTAGGGAGTAGGCAGTAGAATTGAAGCTTCTATCCTAGTTGTACAAGAGAAAAACGGGATATTCCGCTTCCTCCCTGTGAGATTGTGAACATCGATGTTTGCTTGTGCCTGAGCACATCAGAAAGAAGATCCACATCAGACGTGCGGTGACCATTGAGGTTGTGCTGTGCTCCTAGAGGACGGCTTGTACAGCAGACTATCTTCTTTATCTTTAAAAGAGTAGGAAACTTGTGGAGTTTAAAATAGAGTAATTCCATATTCAGTTTACAGTTGAAAAAGTAGAGGAAAGAAAATGTGATAAAGGTTTCCTCTATTCAGAAGTTAACACGGAAGAATTGTGGCTTCTGAGGGGAGGCAGTTATGACTACCTCTGTGCTGCTTCTGCTCAATGGTGGTGATAGAGAATGTTTTCTCTCTCCTCAGCTATTTCCAATTAGGCCAGCCGACGCTGCCAACACTGTGGATTTGAAATATAACACTAAAACCAGATTTAAACTCTATTTGATTCACTTGGCTGTGGAACTGCTGTGTTCATCTACGTTGAACCAGCTTAGGCCAAAGCTTGTCTGCAAATACACTAAATTGTGAACCTTGAAATAAGTAGGACTTGTTAAAACATGTTGACACCTGTCAGTGGCCCCCATGTCCAATCAGTTAACCAGTCTTGTTGTTTTTTACTTGAGAAATGTCTCCTGAATCTAGACCTCTCCCTGTGCCTCCACTAGCACAACCTTAATTCAAAGCTTTACCATCTCTCTTTTGGACCAAGGCAAATACTTCCTAAGAATCCCGAACACCCCGTGTTCTCAGAGTTCCACAAAACAGAGCACACTTCATCTCCGCACTCCTTGTTACATTGATGACAGAATCCAGCTCAAACGCCTGAGTGTGGTTAACCAGCCTTTTAAAATCTCTTTCCTGCTATTTTCTATCTCCACTCCCCACATGTTCTTACCACCCTGAACTCCTTTCTCTGACAGAGTGGTATTTTCTCACAACTGGGCATGTGCATCCCTTCCCCCCGGGCCTGCTTCGCTCCTCCTCCCTCCATCTTCCATCGCCTTACTCCTGGATATCTTTCAAGAGCCAGTTCCAATAGCATCTTTTCAACTCCAGCTCTCCCACCTCTTTCTGCTCTGTACTCCCACAACACAGTATTTAGTCCACTGATTGTGATTATATTTACATGTCCCTCCTCCAGACTCAGAGTACATCGCCTGGCTGATAGTGAGCCAGAAATTCTTAGAGAATGAAGCTTGCTTGTCCTCATATTTCTACAGCAATGAATAGATTAATCAGAAAAGGTTTTGTTATATTTCATGAATAAAAATAAACTTATCTATTCTTTCCTGGGATAGAAGTCATAACCCCATTCTTATTCCAGGCACTCGGGCTGCCAAGAATTCCCAGCATTTGCTCCTTTTCCACTTTTTTCTACCCCAAGCAGAATTTAATTTTGTTTTCATGATTGTCATCTTTTAAAAACTATTCCTGCCTTAGTTTTTTCCAGTTCAAAGCAAATATAATTTACAGTTCCAGTAAATAAAAAACCATGATTGGGTTACTCCAGGCCTATGAATATATCTCTCTTTTCCAGCTGTATTTCCATTGCTGTTATGTAGATTGAAATTCAATATTTTCCTGAATGTCATTCATTGTGCCTCTCTTTGTTTTTAGTTTGGTTTTATCATTTAATTGAAATAGACAATAGAGCATAGGAAAAAAGCTAAAACCTTAGTTACTTAAACGGAAGTAGATTTGAGGAGACTTAAATTGGTATAGGCCAAAACCCACATTAAAGGCTTTTTACAAATAGAAGGGTGGTTCTTGCAAACTCTGAATGTAAAGCCGTTTGAACAGGGGCTAATTTTAAGTTTGCCACAGAAATTTAGAAATCCTTTGGTGTAGGAAGTTAATAACATTCCAACAATGCCCTAAAATAAATCTTCTAATTACTAACAACACTAATAAATAAAAACTTTATTAGCACCCTTAAGTACTTATTAATGTAATTAACTTTAGGATTAATTACATACAACTAATTCAAAAGATCATATCAAATATTCCTACTTATTTATTAAAGTGGGGCTTATAAAAGATCTGACTATTGGATTCTAGACCAAACCAGGACAAGAGTCCCCAAAAGGGCCTTCTATAGAGCTGTGACTCACTGTTCACTTCCCTATGACTGCTAATTTTACCATCTTTCCTTTCCATTGACCCTAACCTTGTTGGAGCAACAAAGTTTTATCTTCAAATAGTTACCAATCAGCCATTGATACTGTCACCTGAACAATAAATATGTCTACTAAATATTAGATTGTTGAGCTTGGTTTAGTTGGAAACAGCAATGTGCCATTGAAAAATAATTTGTAATTCAAATAGCCATTAATTTTTATTGCTGCCTATCCTTTAGTTAATACTAGTTAGCTTTTTTAATGCTAAAGATAAAAAAAAATTAATACCCCAATTTTAATTTTAAAGGGTAATGTTCAAATAAACCTTTCTTTCATTTGTAATTTTTTGACTTAGAAAAGAAGTATGGCTTCTAAATTTTGGAAATATTATACTATCTGTGTTTACTAAGGTAGCCCACTTTGTTCTGCAAATTTAACCCATATTTTCAGTGAAGAGGGTCCAATTCGGAAGGAAGAGTGGGATTTCAGTCAGAGCAGAAGAAAACACCTGCTGTTAATCCAAGTGCACAAGTCGGGGCCGGAGCGTCCGAAGCAGCCGCTGCAGCTGTGCATGGAGGTTGACCTCGGCTTTGCTTCTGTCCTAAGCTGGCAGGTGCCAGGACGCCATACTGTCTGCTCAGAAACACCATCTTTTGAGGCAGCAATATTTATTGCTCAATTGTAGATGCAAATTAAGCATTCTTGCTCAGGGCAAGTTGGCTAAAGAACTCTAGTTGATACGTGGATTTGGCATGAGTAATTGGACTTTGAGGAAAAGGGTTGTCTCTGTTCCTCACTGTCAAATAACTTCACAAAAACTTTGTCCTTAAAGATGCTGTGTAACCTAACAAGGTGCCTTTAGAGGACTGGTACAATGGGAGATGTGGCCTGTGAAATCTCACTGGCAAAAGCAAACAAAAGTTTAAAGAGAAACCTGGGAAGGGGGTGGATATGGAGGCTGGGGAGGTGTCTATAGTAACAGTTGACCTTGATGTAGCTGAGTTTTGTAGAGGTCGTTTTTTCTTAATGCTACTATGTGGAAACTGTTTGCCTTAGACACTAGGCTATTTAGCTTCTCCAGGACAGGGACTATGTCTTTCTAAATCAGCCTTTCCCAAACATATATGTTCCCCCAGTGCTTACAGTGTTGCCACACTGTATAGACATTCAACAAATGTGTGTAAAAATCGAAATAAAGTTAACTAACATGCTACTTAAATCAAGACTAGAACCTCAATTGTATTTTTTAAATTTGGTCATATCCTCTCATTATTATTTTCTTTGGCTTTCATCTGCCCCACCACAAATAAAATCCTACTTGTATAACCTTAGTAAGCATTTTGCATGTGTTAAAAATAATTGAATAAAGTCCTTAAACTTAATTTTCCAGAGATGAACACACAGACTGTACTCACTAATTACTAGTTGATTCATGGAAAATAATAAAAATGTTAAAAATTTATTGAAAACAAAAATAATATTTTCTCTTTCCTCTTTTAACTTGCAAAATGATTTTGGGGGTAAGAGATAAAAAGGTTTTATAAAGTTGATTTCCATTATCTTAGTCCCCTCTGCCCCTCCTCACTCCTCCTCTATTCCCCTTTCTCTCATTTTGAACTTGAGACGCTGGGACTAGTGTCTGTGACACTGTGGAAAATGCACTAGGGAGGCATTTTAGATGGCGCTTGTTGAAGGCAGGCACCAGATAGGTATCCTTCTTTCTGAGACTCTAGTTCCAGAGCTGTGTTCCAATACTTTGTGTCAAAACCTCTGCATTTAAAGTCACACATACTGGGTTAAAGTCCTTTCTAACTCACAAGAAGCCTAACATTGATAGTCTTTGAGTTTCATTTTTGGCATCTGTAAAAGGATTATCATAATACTTATCTCGTTGGATTGTGGAAAAGATTAAATGCAATAACAGGTGAAAAAGTTTCTTGTCAATGGTAAAAGACACAAAGTATAGGACATGATGTAGTTATTAGTAATTTTATGGTAATTTCACAGCTGTTACCAGAAGGGCCACACTGAGAATGGGAATTTGGTGCAGTTACTCTGTAGCTGGTACTTAGCAAAAGGAAATGTTTTGGAAGGTGGAGCATTGCTACGTTCCCACCTGCAGTGACATAGCAGCCTCCACTGGCCCCTAGGATGGGGTACTTTGCTAGAACCTGGGCCTGTTTCCTGTCCAGCCTTGTCCTTTTTCCTCAGCCCTGCTGAAAATGGAGGTGAGAGAAGGTGACTCTGAAATGCTCCAGCTCCTCAGGTGGGCTGAAACCAAAACATGACTTTATCTTTAAGAGCTAGAAAATGTATCAGTGCCTCTAGAATTAGTATTTCTGTTCAAAGGTAAGGAAAATCTCAATGAGGCCCAGGAATAGACAGCTGCCCAACAAAATAGAAATTCCTGTAAAGAGCCACATACGTAGCATCACTTAACTTATGACAAAGGTAATACTGTACTATAATGGGGAAAAGGTACATTTTCAAGAAATGGTGTTTGGTTAATTTGATATCCACATTTTTAAAAAGCATCTTGACTTTTACCTCACATCATACACAATCAGTTCTTAATAAATTCAGATTTCAATATGGAAGATAAAATAATGAAGTTTTTGGCTTATAAAATAAACTTTAGCTAAAAAAATAGCTTCTAAACTAAAATGGAAAGCCCTCTTTATGACATTGAAGTAGGCAAAGATTTCTTAAGTGGAATATAAAAAGGGACAACTATAAAGAATAAAAAATGTTAAATTGAGTTTTATTAAAATTAAGAACTCAGAGGTGTTCATCAAAAACACCTGTAAGAGAATGTAAAGGCAGTAAACAAAGTGGGAAAACATATTTGCAGTAAATATATCTGACAAAAGACTCATTCAAAATATATAAATAACTCTACATCTACCTACATACATATGTACAATATATAATATATAATAGATAAAGAACTCTAGCAAATCAACAGGACAATTCAGTAGGCCAAGGACAAAAGGTATGAAGAGACACTTTATGAAAAAGGATGTAAAATGGTCAATAAGTATATTAAAAGGGAGTTCAATTTACTAATCACTGGGTAAATACATACTAAAACATGATGTGAAATTACTACATCACCACCAGAATGCCTAAAATGAAAAAGATAGAAAATATCAAATATTGGTAATATGGGGCAACTGAAATTCTATACATCGCTGATGGGGCTTAAATTGTTAAGAATCACTTTGAAAAACCATTTGGCAGCATCTACTAAAACCGAACATATGTATAGTCTGTAACCTAACAGTTCCTTTTCTAGATATACACCCAGCAGAAATGAATATACATTTTCACAAAAGACATGAATTACTATGTTCATAGCACTGTTTTTGGAGACAGTCTTGCTCTGTTGTCCAGGCTGGAGTGCAGTGGCACAATCTCAGCTCACCTCAACCTCCACCTCCCAGGTTCAAGCGATTCTCCTGCCTCAGCCTCCCAAGTAGCTGGGATCACAGGCATGCGCCACCACACCCAGCTAATTTTTGTATTTTTAGTAGAGATGTGGTTTCAACCATGTTGGCCAGGCTGGTCTTGAACTCCTGACCTAAGGTGATCCACCCGCTTTGGCCTCCCCAAGTGCTGGGATTACAGGCATGAGCCACTGCGCCTGGCCATAGCGTATTTTTATAATAGCCAAGACCTAGAAACTCCTGGAAACAAATGGCTGCCAACACTAGAATGAATAAGTAAATGATGATATAGTCATACAGTGGAGTATTATAAAGCAGTAAGAACAATCTACAACTACACACAAAATTATGGATGAATTTCATACTAATTAAGCAAAAGAGGCCGGACTCTATGATTTTATGTACATGAAGTACAAAAACAGACAAGCTAATCTATATTGTCAGGGGTCAGAATAGTGGTTACTGTTGGTAGAGGGTGGTGACAAGGAAATGTCCCAACAGGAGCTTCTAACTTGCAGGTAATGTTCTATTTCTTTAACTGGGTTCTACTTGCATACATGTGCTGAGTTTGTGAAAATTTATTGAGCATATTATGTACTTATGACATGATATGTACAGGTATACATGCACAAACATATATGGTTATATGTTTCACATTCTAATATGATTATAGTTTAGAAACCAAAATTTCTTGAGAAACCTCATTGACAGCTATCTCTGTATTCTTTGAATGAATCTTTCAACTAACCTGGCTGATCTATTCAGTTTACAATATCTTTTTTTAATTAAAATTTTTTTTCTCTTTCTTTTTTTCAGGGCCCTCCTGGTCCAAAAGGCGATAAGGTAAGAAAATGCATACCAGAAATAAAGTTAGTGAAGATCCATATTGGCGTGACCTATACTGTGTTACATTTTGATCTTTTTAATGAACATCATGTATAAATTTTGGCTAAAACTGTTATCTCACCTTTCTATTCTACAGGGAGAACAAGGTGATCAGGGACCTAGGGTAAGTTGTGCTCTACCTATCTTGGGCGGAAAATTAGTTTCTAACTCCAAGTTTATTGAATGAAAGTACCCCAGCTTCATAACTGCCTTTGTGCCACATGGTTCAGTAATGGCTGGCAAAAATACCATACCACTTGTAAGTGAAAAAAACCTGATTAACGATTTGGATGTATTCTGTTGCATTATCTTTACTTGATGCCTATAAATAGAAAATTCTACAATAATTAGACATATTGAGTAAGGGCCAGAATCACTTCTAAGAATCAATAGCAGCCACCTTTCCCGTGACTATTGAGTCCTTCAGATTTGCATGAATTGTTTCACAACATAGAGGCCATATGGATTTCTATTGAATTTGGCCTTTTGCTGCAGTTAAACCTTACGTGCTATTGCATAAATGTTTTTTTACAGATAAAATTATCAGTGCATTTTACATATTTGTTCTTTGCCATAAGTTTGCATGATACTTATTTGAATTTCTAGTTTTTATAGATTTTTAAGCAGATAAAAGGTGTAATACAATTTAGCATTGCAGGTAGGAGGGAGCATTCTTTTAAGCTTCTCAGATGTGGCCCTTTTAACCATTATAACACAATGGTGAATGCTTTGTTGTTACCTTGGTAGTGCCAAGTCCTCTACTTCACATCTGTGCCTTATTACCCAAATGTTCAGACATACTGTTTCAATGATGTAGTGGCTCCGTTCGACATACCTCTCAATTTTCTCATGTCACTATGCACAAAAGCAAGTATTTGGTTGAATAGAGTAATTTTTTACAGTGGAAAGGCTCATTTAAAACTTTCAGGTTGAAAAAAGAAACTATGTAGGTCTTTCTGTAAAATTCACTGTGCTTAGTTACTTATTAAATGCATTTATACTGCATAGAGATATTTTTGCAAAAGATGCAGTTGATGCAAACTTGAAAGGTTTGTAGTTGTATTATCTCCTCATGTTTCTTAAACTAGACAAAAGTTATGCTATGATTTATTATACTTTCCCTTTTGTTCTTCAGTCACTTCTTCATATAGAAATACTGATTATGTTTCACAGCATTTTGTTTCTCGTGGCAGTTACTCTGGCTGATGACTAGCTTCAAGCCAAATGCTCATTTTAGGAGATTAAACACCACGTTATCCACTGTCATGGATGTGAATAAAATAAGACTCTCATAACCTTAAGTGATTAGAATACAGCCATTTGCTCTGTATGTGGTGATTATTTCACATGACATGTCTCCTCATATCGAGTATCATTTCTTTCTACACGCAATATCAAAATCACTCAACTTCCCCTTTCCAGGTAAGAGGGAAACTGTTTCCATTCTGAGAAATCTTCTTTTGGCAAAGGAAGTGAAGGGTGGTTCACAGCTTAGCTGTCATCAGTATGCATGCAGTCCTCATTTTCAAAAAGGTGTGTTGGCTTTCATCGTTAAAAAGAGTGATGATTGATTATAAAGCTAGGCCAAATTTTCAGGATGAAACCTGAAACCATCTGAAATTCACCTGGTTTCATGTTGCATTACAAACTAAGACTTGGACCAGGTTCCTTGAAAGTTTGGCCAAAGTTCATGAACTACTTCGACAAACCCAGACTGCCTTTCATGCAGATTTCAGCCAGTTTTCACACTGAGTGGGGCCAAGTTTCACTCAATTCAGAGCCCATTTAGCATTTCAGGTGGAAAGTGGCAAAAAGTGATCTCATTTTCCTCTGTATTTTGCTTTGTATTGAAGGAATTTGGGTTGAATTCCTAATACAGGATGAATCTTCATGGGTACGAATCTAAATGTCCTGGAAGGTAGAGGTGAAAGAGAATGAGAACCCACTGACTTGCCTGTCTTTTCTCAGATTCCAAGCAGGTCTCATTCAGTGCTCTTAGAATTTTGTAAACATTACTATCTAGTAAGATAGTATTAGCTACATATTAGGAAATTGATCATATCAAGATAGTAAGATGAAGGTTCTATATTTCAAAAAACATCAAAAGCAAGAACTGGAAAAGTTTCCAATTTTAATGAAAATTAATTTTACCCACATTCTCTATTTAGGCACGGTATTCTTGCTGATGATGACCAAAGGCTCTCTTTTTTTTAAATGTAGAGTTTGTATTCCAATACCCTGTCCATTTTCATCCTGTTGCAGATTTTGAATTACGCTTTTTACCATTTGTTTCCAATAGTTTATTTCTTCCCATAAATAACAATGTGAACTCCAAACTCCATCATGTCAGCTCTTTGTCAGGTGAATTTCCATCATGAGACCTATATCATTTTCTTGAATATTTGGAAGTTTTAACTCTTTGACTCCCCAAGTGTCCAGTGGGAATAAATTAAGCCATAAGAGGTAAATCGAAGCTGGAAAAACTTGAAGATCATATAGAAATTAAGAATGTGAGACTATTTTTAAGTACTTGGACATATATTCAGCAGTATATATTGAGCAGCTACCATCTTTAAGATACTGTGCTTAATACTATAGACACAATAAATGTGTCCACTTATCTCTCTCTTCTACTAACCACCAAATTCAACTTACTTTCATGTTCTTGATTACTTCAGTGGCTTTCCAATTAATCTTTCTATTTCCACTCTTAACCTTATATAATCCATTTTCTACACAGCAGGCAGAGAGATCACTTGACATTGTAAATTAGATCATGTTACTCCTGTGTAAAACTTTAGAATGAAATCCAACCTGCTGTGCTTAGCTCTTGCCCATCCCCACCAGTTCATCTCACACTAGTCTTGCCTCCACCTACAACACTCAGCCACACACTGTCCTCCATGTCCTCTTCAGACACACTGCACTTTCACCCAACTCGACAGCTTTCCATTTGCCCTCTTCTGGTCTTCTTGTGATTGGGTTCTTCTTATCATTGAAACTTCATCTCAAATATCACCTCCTCTGAGAGAACTTCTCTAACTACTCAATCTGAACCAGAGATTATTCTATCTTGTTTATGTATTTACTTGCTCATTATCTATAAAGTATGCCCCCCTCCCTCCTTAGGTCCTATATTCCATAAAAGCAAGGTTCTTCTCTGTCTTGTTCATACCCCTTCACATAGAATAGTGAAGATTCAATAAATATTTGTTGAATGTATGAATAAAATATTGTTATATCATTATGGCCCTCAAGAAGCTGATAATTTCATGGGTACCTGAGTAAGAAAACTGTGTGGTTATATGTTATATCCCTCAAATAGATATACCAAGAGGTGCTAGAAAAGTGAAAATTCTTTCATTTTAAATGAGCACTGTCAACTGTGGAAGAGGTGACACTTGAGCTAGAACTTGATAAATTGGTAATCTTTAGGAGGATACACTGAAGAGCAAGACAGTACATATTCCAGGAAGAGGAAATAGTATAAACAATATTATCCAAGTAGAAAATGGCAGGATTTAGTTAAGGAACAATAATATTCCATTTGTGATTTTTAAAAATGTGGTATACACAATGGAATACTATTTAACCTTAAAAAAGAAGGGAATCTTTTCATTTGCCAACAGCATGGATGAACCTGAAGGACATTATGTTAAGTGAAATAAGGCAGGTACAGAAAGATAAATAACTGCATGATCTCACTTATATGTGGAATTTTTAGAAGTTGAATACATAGAAGTAGAGCATTTAATGGTGGTGACCCATGGCTGGTGGGGAGGGTTTTAGGAGATGTTGGTCAAAGGATACAAACTTTCAGTTAGATAAGAGGAATAAGTTCAACAGATCTACTGTACAGCAACGTGACCACAGTTAATAACAATATATTGTATTCTTGAAAATTGCTGAGAGTACATTGTGTTCTCACCAAAAAAGATAAGGATGTGAGGTAATACAAATGTTAATTAGCCTGATATAGCCATCGCATGATGTATACATATTTCAAAACAACATATGTAACAGTATATATATAATTTGTATTTGTCAATTAAAAGTAAGTTTTAAAAAGGACCCTAAAAAATAATATTCCATTTGCCAATAAGTAGGTTAAGTAAAATATTGTGTCATATAGATGGAAAATTTTGGATTGAAGTTATATTATGGAGCATTTTGAATGTCTAGCGTGGTAGGCATTAGAGAGCCATTGAGAATTTTGAGTAATCTGTGCTTATCTTATTTTGAGACTATCTGTGCTTATTACCAAATGTTCTTTATAAAAATATTTTAGAGGCCAGATGCAGTGGCTCACCACTGTAATCACAGCACTTTGGGAGGCTGAGGTAGGCAGATCACCTGACATCAGGAGTTCGAGACCAGCCTGGCCATCATAGTGAAACCCCATCTCTACTAAAAATACAAAGAGTAGCCAGGCGTGGTGGCGAGTGCCTGTAATCCCAGCTACTTGGGAGGCTGAGGCAGGAGAATCACTTGAACCTGGTAGGTGGAGGTTGCAGTGAGCCAAGATAGCATGATTGCACTCCAGCCTGGGCAACAGAGTGAGACTTGGGCTCAAAACAATTATTTTATATATATATATTTGGTGGTAGCATCTGCTATAGAATACAATTGGAAGAGACTGAAAGCAGGGTGACCAAGTAGACCAGGAAACTATGTCACTCATTTAGGACAAAGTCATAAGAATCTAGGCTGTACAGACAATGTCCAGTCCTCAGTGGAGAGGTAAGCAGAACGGATGAGCTGACTTAGCATGGAACATCAGGTATCATTGGAGGCAAGGACACATACTGAGTAGAAAGGTCAGTGTCAGAGTAGAATTTCAGCGGGGGTTAGGGAGAGAGGTGGAGTGGGAGGTGGTAAGTTGATGAACCAAGAAAGAGATTCCAAAGTGGTCACCAAAATACGGACAAAAGCTCCAATTTCACCATGAAAGCTAGGATATGAGTTTATTATTCTCACATAAAAAGAAGTTTGGAGAAGGCAGTTGATAGTGTTATGTATATAATTAAATGGTGTTACTGTTGATTCAATGATGTTACTAAGTCTGTGAATCTCTTGGCCTTGTCTCATGATTGCAGGAAGCCTGCTTCAAGTCCAACCATTGCATCTAGGCGTATATCAGCAGGAAGGATAGAGAGGAAAGAGTCTGAATCAAGAAAGCAACATTTTCCCTATGAACTTCTTAGTAGACTTCTGGTCATGTCTCATTGGCTAGGTTGTGTCACACAGTCATCCAAAAGCTGGAAGGGACAAGGGGAATAGGGCTGAAAGGGAACTTAGGTCATCCAATCAATAAGGTTTACCCCAAGTGCCAAGCAAACACCTGAGTAGACAAAGAGGGAAATCAGGGCTGACACTGATAGAGGAGCATTTGGTGAGGGAGGAGTCTTGAGGACACTTGAACAAGTGTCCCTATTCAGCTGACACTGAGGACCTGTGACCCTGGAGTTGTAGTCAGGTTAAAGTTTTTTTAAAAAGCAGTCAGGAAGTGAAATGGAAAGACGCTGAGGTGAAAATTCAAGACCAGTCTTGAAGCCAGTTGGATGTAGGGGATGAAGTTGAAAAAGAAGACAAAGATAGGGCTAAAGTTTCTGGCTTGATGCTTGATAAAATAGGTCAGAAGAAAGTTGGGAGGATAAGTGAGAAGATGGATTTTAATTATGTTGAATTCGTGATCTTGATGAGATATTTCATTGGAATAGTGTAACAAACAGAAACATGAGACTAGAATTCTGAGGCAGTGCCATAACTGGAGGTAACTGTTACACAGCTGAACTATCACAGAGGGAGAATTGAAATCCTGGAATTAGAAACATGGTAGGCAAAAGAGTAAGAAGAGTACTGCCCTAGAATAGAGTCTTTAAAAATACTCACACTTACGGAGTGGGATGAGGAAGGAAGGAGTGTCAGCAAAAGGAGAGCATTTGAAGGTAGAAGCAGGACACTGCATTGTGTGAACACCACACACAAAACTACTTAAAAAAAAAAAAAAGAGTGGCCAATATAATATTCTGAATAAAAAGAGAGCCTCAGGGATGAGGTCTTTCAAAAGCCTTTGGATTTGCTGTTTTGGAGTCATGGGCTATTAAAGGAATATCTTTTGTTAAGTAGTGAGAGTGGAAGTCAGATTGCAAGAAGTTAAAAGGTAATGGTAGGAAAGTTGACCGTCTTTGAATACAGTTGATGGCATATGATTTAATGCAGGAGAAAGTGGGCTAACTTTTCGGCATTAACTTTCTTTCAGTATACATTGAACCAATTTCAGGCCTACAGTTTTAGGTGTAATATAATAACCACAAATATCATTTGGTTTTATTCTACGAGGCACTGAGTGTTAGATTTCCACAAATGAATGCATCCTGACATAAGAATTGTACTTCCCGCCTTGATTCCTGGGGAGATGTCATTGCAGATTTGCCACTAATCTTTAATTCATTCTTCCAAACACTGCATTTCATTAGGCCTTTAGGCTTAGGGTTGGGATGGTGCTTTATCTGTGCTGTCGGTCACCACGCATAGAGTATCCGGGCGTAAAGAGATAATTGATTCTCTTTATTTCATCCTCATAGCTTTGTATTGCAAAGTTTTGAGGCTATGACTTTACCTTGTATTTAAGTAGAGATTACACAACCTGCTGAAAGGAAGTTGTCGGGGATTCCTAGGTTGAATAAGAAAGTTGGACTAGGAAATAAGACCTCACATAATAATTATAATTGCCTATAGCTTAGTCTTACAACTTGCTGGATACTTTTCTAGGTAAGTTGCATACATCATCTCTAAGCCTTACTATAGTGCAGAGAGATAGATTATCAGGGAGGAAAACGGGAAAAGTGGATGCAGTTGAGTAAAATGATTATCCACATGGGCTGAAGTCAGGCTGGACAGGGATCAAATTCTAACTACCACTATCTATGATTATGATCAGGATTAATAAAGTAGTATATGAAAAAATCTGTAATAAGCTCTCAACAAACCATACCTGATTTTTCTTCCCATATTTCATATGAGGAATATGGGGTAAAGTAACTTGCCCAAGTTGACATAAATTGTAAGTGGTAGAAATGGGATTTAAACCTGGCTTTCTCAGCTTCTAGTTTGTTCTGTTTTCAGTGAACAAGACTGCTTCCCTATCAATAAGGTAGTTGTTATAAAGTCATCAACATTAATGTGAAATGATAGGGGTTACAGAAATATCTGTGTTTGAAATAATAACAATAAGGATACTTTAATTGAGTTCCTAAAATACGCCAATCACTCTATGATGTCACACCTTATTTCAACAACCCTATGAAATACTTACTTTTATTATTCTCATTTAATGGATGAGGAAACCAAGACTTAGAAAATTTAAATATTTTGTCCAAAATAATAATCACTCACTGGCAGAACCAGAATTTGAACCTAGGTATTTACAGACTACATTTTCCATGTATTCTCTCATTTATCCTGTAAAGTAATGCTGTAAGTTAGTAGAACACGTATTAATAAAACTTTTCTTTCTTTTTCTTTCTTTCTTTTTCTTTCTTTCCTCTCTTTCTTTCTCTCTTTTTCTCTCTTTCCTTTTTCCCTTCCCTTCCCTTCCTTCCTTTTCTTTTTTTCTTTTCTTTTCTTTCTTTTCTTTTAAGACAGGGTCTCACTCTGTTGCCAGGCTGGAATGCAGTGCCACAATCACGGCTCACTGCAGCCTCAACCTCCCAAGGCTCAGGTGATCCTCCTGCCTCAGTCCCCCGAATAGCTGGGACTACAGGCACACACTACCATGCCCAGCTATTTTTTTTAATTTTTAGTAGAGACAGGGTTTCATCATGTTGCCCAGGCTGGCCTCGAACTCCTGGACTCAAGTGATGTGCCTACCTCAGCCTACCCTGAGTGCTGGGATTACAGGTGCGAGCCACTGCGCATGGCCAACTTTATTATGATTTTTTATTTTTCTGATGAGGATTGAACTCAAGCAGATTAAGTGACTTGTTCAAGTTCTTTCACATACATTTACCAAAAGACAGTGTTGGGACTCAACGCCAATTTCAAATCCTGCTATCAAGCTGCCTCCAGATTGCTGCTAGGAACCCTTTCAACTTGAAAATCCCAGGCCTCTGTGAATAAGACTGAAAAAGCTGGGGAACACAAGCACAAATAGGTGGATATTTTTTCTTTGTAATTATGATAGACTCAGTTTATGCAGGCCACACACTGTCAACCCAACAGAAAACATATGAATGGATGAATGGCCATATAGTAATACCCCCCAAAACATAAGTGAATGAATGATCACCACATAGTAATACCCTAGAAACTGTATGTCACTGAGTAATACCTTAGAACTCACTATATGGAGCAAAGAGAGGCAGGGCAATGTTGGCCCCCCTCCAAGGATTGTAAGAACACCCAATTACCTTGTTATAATACAGATTTTACTTCTCAACTCAATAGCACCTATTCGAAAATTGTATATATTATCACACCAGTCTTAAAAATTTTTTAAAAAGAAAATTGCATATCAAGATCTTGCTTATACTTGCTATTAGTAATTGTTTCTTCAGGATAACCAGATGGATGAAATTTGTTTTCTGCTCTTCATAATGCTGAGTTTGCATAACCTATAAGCTATGTTGTTGTTCCACTTTTATTCTAAGTCCCTCTTTGCAAAAAAATGAACTTCATTTCTTTATCAGTAACAGAACTTCAGTGTCAACTGTAAAAGTCTCAAGACTTTTAATGCTTCTCCCGTTGTCATCTACACCCACTACTGCTACCGCTGTCTCTCTTCATCATTAAAGAGGGCTTTTTGTTTGCCCAGTTCATAAGAGCCTCTGCCCTCATCATGAACCATAGCCCTGGAATCACAGTGACACCCAGGGCTTTGATGATAATGGCTCATATTTCTTTTCTCTATCTTAGTGACTTAAAAACATAGCCTTAAAAATAAGCAAAGCTGTTGTAATGTTTAATAATGACTTTTTAAAATGGAATACTATGTTTTTCTGAAATTGTGGCAAATTTATTAATCAAACTTAGGCAATAAAATGAAGAAACGTCATGAAGTTATCTTTTGATTATATATTAATCTTCTAATCAGTTGGTTACTATCACCTTGCCAAATAACACAGAGTCCTGATAAATAGGAGATTTAGTGGTTATTGGTCTCGACATCATCAGCCAACAGCTGGTTTTAAATGAGTCCTAAGCTCTCACAGTTTCAATAAGCCACCCAGAAGCTCTGCTTCACATTTTCATAAAATTCCTTTCTCCTCCTAGTGTATTCGAGTAAATTTTCATAACAGCTGGGACTATGCAAAACTGATAGCATCTTAAAAACATCTTTGGCAAGACAGATTAAGTTCCAGAAAAGGAAAGCATTTAGAAGTTTATTTTATTATCTTAACCTTTGTTGACTTGAATGATTAAAGATTTTTTGGCTCTGCTAAAACATTTAGGCCTGGATATTAATTTGATGTCCTTATTTGTTTAACCCTTGCCTTTCTCTGTAGCCTTAATGAATATACTACTCATTGGGTACTGAATGTATTGCCTGAGAAAAGGGAATGGATATAACACAATGGAAAGAAATAAATTATGAGAAAATTATTTTAACACTTTCCAGATTCAGAAGCTGGCATGGAAACAGTAAGCTCATTAAGATTTGCACATGTTCTTATCATAGGGATTTTCTAATCAGAATTCTCTTTAGAGTGTTCTGTGTCATACTTCAACCCACTAAAAAGTTGTTGCATTGAATTGAACCCAGGAATATTTGTAAATTTGTCCTAATATCGGTCAATTTAGAAAATAAATTATTTTTTACAAACAATGGTAGATGTGTTGACAATATTTCCTTGGAATTCAGTGTTGTAAATTTTATCTCAGTGTTAGTGGTTGAATGGCTGGGCTCATCAAATATGAAAAAAAGAGATTTGGAAAGGATGAGGAATAATGGCTCTACCTATATTATGTCACTTTAAATCTTGTATATATGTCCTTAAAAGATTATGTAAGTAAATCTATCCCTACTGAATAAATATAGTAATTCAGTTGAGTAAACTTTTATACAAAATATATGAAAGTAAGAAGGAACATTTTGCAAAATGCTTATATATATAAAATAGTATAGTAGTGAAATGCCTGAGATGTGAGCCTTTAACTGAAAATTCTATTAATGACCACAGAGATATTAAAATCAAAACCAAAGCCAAAATCCAATCCTAAGCACATCCTCTGACAAGAAATCCTGGAAAATGATACCAACCAGTTTAAATAACGATTGGATTTCCTTTTTGTCTTTTGAGTACAGTGACCTTCATATGTAAATAATTATTTGATTATTTACATTATTTATTTTAATTAATTTTCTTATTTACTATTTATTAATTTATTAATTTAATTTAATATTCACATTATTTAATTAAATTATTCACATTATTTAATTATGATATTATTTACATATGATATGTAAATAATTATTTCCATTTTATGGAGTAAAGAGATTTCATTTGTCCACACTTTTCTGCTTATTGTTCATGTAAACTGCAATATTATTCTTACTTTTTCATGTGACATATATCCCTGGATGTATGCCTTATCTTTTCAGGCTTAGGGGCACTATTTCACATTTTTCTTGAAATTAAGTAGAATGACATATTTTAATCGAAAGAGAATATATTTGTATATGTATATATTTAATATTATTCCATTTATATTTCTTTTGTTGGGATTTTTACAAGTGCTGCTTTTTATAAAATATTGGTTACATAATTTAAAGACTTCCTTGATAAGTAATATATTAATAATCCTCTCTCAAACATGAAACTATACGGAAGGTTTTATTCTTTGTCTTATATTTAAGCAAGCTTTTTTACTTGAATCCAAATATAAGATTTTTAGATTTATTAATTCATGTAATGTAGAGCCATGAGTTGCACTAACGCCTACAATGGAAGCATATGCTAAAATGTGAAGGTCGATTTGGGGTTGATGACTTTCAATATTATATAGAGAATGTAAGGCTTTTAGTAAATATACTAAAACCTGTATTTGAAATGGACAAAAAAAATCCAATTTATACTTTAGCTGGTAATACCCATGAATAATGAACATATTGTGGATAGAAAATACAGCAATTTATAAACAATTTACACTAACAAAATTGAACATTATTACCACCATTATTTTTGTATCACTCCCTAATATAGAATTATAGTTGCAACTGGAAATATTTGAAGTGAATTAACCAAATAGAAGTCAAGAAAGCATAAAACAGCAGATTTTAATGGTGCATCACGATTTACAGAAGGGACTGGAGGGCAGGATTATATTTTTGATTCTTCCCTTCAGAATGGGTGGAATAATGGCTTATGCATTGACAGATGATGTTCAGGGAGAACAGTTCCTGTAGGTCTGAACAAGATGGGTCTCTGGAAAGTCATTTAATGCCAGACAGCAGCATCCTTTCATAAGCATACCTGCACTAATGTGTCCAGCAGCCCCCTGTAGCAGACACAGCCTGTAAATCACAATTGGCAAACAAGACTGGCTTTGTAGGAAAAGGATGTCAGTTGCAAGGCCCTACTTCAAATGTAATTCTACAGTGACTTTGGGGGAGTGAGGAAGGTTTGCTTTTCATCTCTTAGAAGCCAGTTAAACTTTGCTTGAAAAATGTTGATATTGAGAGAAACCTTTATTGATCACTAGTGGGTTTTATTAGCACAAATGAATTATTTAACACAAACATAGACAATAGTAATAATAATAATAATAACAATACTGTTGGTTTTACAGTTCCACGTACCAAGAACTTCCGGGCATTCTTATCATGCTTTATAAGCTTGTGAATTTAGCACGAATCTGGTTGACAAGAGTCAGTGATGGAAAGGTAGTATCAAAAACCTCCAGTGTAGCATTCCAAACCATCAAAGAACTGGTTACATAGGATACTCTTTTCAGTACAGGTATTTTAGTCAGCTTCAGGCCTAAAGTAATTCCTTATAATTAAGAATTAAGGGCCGGGTGCAGTGGCTCACACCTGTAATCCCAGCATTTTGGGAGGCCGAGGCGGGTGGATCATGAGGTCAGGAGATCAAGACCATCCTAGCCAACGTGGTGAAACACTGTCTCTACTGAAAATACAAAAACTGGCTGGTCGTAGCGCCTATAGTCCCAGCTACTTGGGAGGCTGAGGCAGGAGAATCGCTTGAACCCGGGAGGTGGAGGTTGCAGTGAGTCGAGATCCTGCCACTGCACTCCATCCTGGGTGACAGAGCGAGACTCCGTCTCAAAAAAAAAAGAAAAAAAAAGAATCGAGGTAGAGAAATGGTGGTGGAAAACAAAAAGAGAGAGAGAAATTGCCATGGCAGAGTGAGAGTGCTGTCCTGGCTTGAAGCCTGTGGGATGCAACGGGAAATGGCAGGAACTAACTGTAACATTAGGAAGGACAAGAGAACAACAGGTGGTAATTCCTGTCTCATTTGCGATGTCTTCAAAAGAACATGTCAGCCTGAATATTCTGTTTATTGGCAGGGGAAGAAAAATCTAAGGGAGATACAATCAAATTTTTAATTAAGAATACATTCAGTTGTTTTCAAACATATTTTTATTACTTTGGCCTTTCATCAGGCTTATTATTTTTAGAGGCTGACTTAATTTACTTAGCTAGACTATTAAAATTGTGGCCCAATCTTGAAATTTCTTGCCAAAATCTTGACCTTGTCATCATTGAAAGGAAGCCATCACTTTGTTATATTTCCGGGACTGCTAAAGGGAAATTCTTCCACTGGTGAGGTAGGAAGTACAGAATGAAGGAAGTGACTGAGGGAGTGATGCCCAAACACAACACAACACAGCACAACACAACAACAGAACAGAACAGAACAGAACAGAACAGAACAGAACAGAACAGAACAGAACAGAACAGGAGAACCTTCTGAGATGTGCCTTAGTTTGAAGTTGCATATGCTGTCATCATATGCGACTGAAAACTAAGTGGCAAATCTTGCAAAAGACAATCAAAATAATACGTTTTGGATTGCCTTTTGCAAGATTTATGAATTACTTCTTATATTAAGAATTATCAAACACTTGCCTTTTATAGCCAGTTGTTTAAAATATTGTACTGTATCTCATTCCATATGCTAGTGTGTGAACGTATTTCAGTTCTCACTGATAGGAATTAGTCTATCTCTAGGTATATTTTATATACACATCTCTGTGTGTGAATACTTACTCATAATTACACTCACCAATAATGTCTTTATGAAGCAGAGTTGTCCATAAATACAGATTCTCCACATATGCAAGATCTAAACATGCACAAATGTGAACCTATTCTTGTTTATACTCTGATTCCTGTTAAGAAAAGATAGGTGAATGTTCAAAGCAATCTATGAAGCTTTTTAGATTAACTTGATATATCTTCCTTAGCTTTTTGCACAAAAATTGTTAAGCTCCTCATCTTCTAATTAATTGTTTTTTAAAAAGTATTTTTCTATTCAGTGTAGCATTTCAGGATTAAAGAGAATGTAAATTAACAATAATTTAGTGCTACCTTGCATACCTTAACATGCAAGGAAATCATTCTTAATATTTCTTTGCAAAGTGAGATGGAAGCAAGCACAGTGGAAGTTCTTGATGATCGCATCAAAGACTGGCTCTGACTTCCAAATAGAGTCCACACACGTTTTCAAGATAATCTTGAAAAGCAAATATTTACCTTGACTTCGATCTTAGAGAAAACTTGGAGACTAATTCAAGAGACAGATGACTTTTCTTAGATATATCTTTTCTTTCTATTTCGTAGTGGTTGAAGAAGATGGTTCTAGAATGCCAGCACCAAAGCTTCCTTTTAGGAATGTAAACTTCTAGATACAAAGGGGGCTCTAACGTAGTCCTTGAATTTAACAGAAGTTATAGCAGCACTTTGTAATTTTTCAGCCTTGATTCTTCCCTATCCTCAGTTCATTTTTTATCCTACTGAACTGTGCTTTGAGAACATAGCATTGAAAAGATTTTAAACCACTGGCATAATTTTATCTCATGTTTTGAACACCAAAAATTACTGTATTTTGTCTTTGGTAACATGGCTTATAGGCATGATATGGTAGAAAGCCACTAGCTACAATTTAACCATTTTTATTAATGTTTTACATTTCTTTGGTGGTATATCTTCGTTTTTTAAAAAATGTGTAATATATTTGACAATCACTATAATTTTGATGATGAAAAGAATAGTAAGGAATATGTTGTCTCTGAACAATCTCTTTTTCTTTCTCTGCCAAATGGATAACTACTGTTTGTGTTAAGAGCTTTACCCCACTACACACATTATTTCATTTTCTGGCATAGATAAACACATTATTTCTATGTTGACAAAGTGAATTTTCTGAAGGATCTTCTATATTAGGAAACTCTAGAATACAACATTATGAAGCCATTCTATTTTTGCTGCCTTTTTAAATAAGTTCAGTACAAAATCACTTTTCAGTCTTGCAGCCTTTTCTTTAGTAGTCATTTGCAATTATTCAAAAATTTTATAAAAGGAAATGAATTTTGAGGAGTTTCAGGAAGAGGGGAATATCTGGAGATCTATTAGACTTTTTGGATTTGTTCAGAAAGCTAATGTAGAGATTTACAACTTCACCCTTCATTTTACATTTTTAGGCAGAAAAGTCAAACAAAATTGAATTGGAGAAAGCTTGCTATGTCACCAGTACAATGTTGAATGTTAGTGCTGTAACTCTATACTGGTCTGTGGTATTACTTCCACTTTGGAGCCATGTACTTCTAATAAAATGTGTCAGAGAAGAATGCAAAGTTTGAGTCATTGTATCTACCCAGAATTGTATATTATAACTGTTACAATAAGTCAAGATTTTTAGAATGTGTCAAATGTAATGGCATGTGCCAACAGGGTTGTAGTTTGAGAAACTGTCACAACTTATATGGAATTTCTTTTTAGGGCAGGGTCTGACACCTTTGGTTGTAGTGGGGAAAAGGAATTCAATGTCTTTATTTTTTCCTATTACTGGAATGTGTTCACTATTTGGTGCAATCTTCCTTCTATATTTTAAATTAGTAATTCACAAAGGAGCAGATTAGAGGCTGCAAACTGGTAACCTGTGAACCAGATTTTGGTAGTAGATACATTTCATTTTTCTTTCCCAGATTAGTTGCTAATATTGGGCAATTTCATATAAATCTTATTTAAAAATTTCTCTTGAGAAATTTAAAAAGCTGGCACCATTGAGTTTACCTTCCTTTATAAGGAAGGTTGGCTGAAGGTGAATGGAGTCTGTCTGCTTTAGGTAGGACATGCATTTTGGATTATCCCCAGTGACACCCAACCTGTTCCATTTACTTAAATATGCATGCAGTTTCTGTTGGCATTGGAGTTTGCAATACCTGGATTAGATATTAAGATGATTTTGCTTTTGATGTTATGATGACAGAGTCCATCAAAATATACAAACACATAGATCACAAAACAATTATGAATCATTTACTTTCTAGAAAAAAAGGCTATAATAGTGCCTTTAACATAATTACATACTGTTTATTTTAAAATTTATCGAATTATTTTTATACTTGTGGTTTTCAGTCTGTGGTAGTGTAGAATTTTTATTAGTATACCAGTCTGCTCAAAGATTAAAATTAGTATAGTTTAAACTTGGTAGTTTTACATCAAGATTCCAACAGAATTTATGTTATCTTCAAGATTTTTTTGTTTAAAATATAAATTATAGAATAACAGAATTTTTAGAAAGTTAGCACAGTTGTAGATAGAATAACCATCGTTAAGTAACATGTAAATAATGTTAAAAAGATGAATTTTAGTCTTTTAATTGCATATGTTTAAAATTAGAAACATAGGAGACTTTGAGGGGGAGAATTTCAGAGTCACTCCTTTAAGGAAAAATGGGACTCTAAATTTCAGAATTTCCTAGAGGTTTTTTTTAAAAAAATGTTGGTTTATTACCTAAGATGATCTAGCTTAGATATCTTATATAGGTCATTGCCAAAGTTCATAGATATTTAGAATCATATCATATTTAGTTGCATATGTTTTCATTGTTGGACCCAAATAATTTCATTTATAATACTAGTCCGTATACTTCTAGAAACACCCATGTTTTAAGTTATTATATATATTTTCTGGGTTTTCTTTGTGCAGTTGGGTTAATGGAACATTTTCCCTTATAAATATTTCTAACAAAATTGCCCTGTTGAGGCACCAAAGAGGAACAAGATCATGAATTGTTTGGAGTTACCCCTTATGGTTGTATTGACAAATCTTAAGAGGAAGAACTGATTTGGGTCAGTATTATTTGATTTTTTTTTGTTTGTGTCCACCTTGATATAAAAATAAATTGAAAGTTAATTTATCTGAGTGCAATAAATATAGAATTTAATGAGATCGTCCAAAAGTTAAAAAATAAAAAAGACAACATAAATAGAATCCTATATGGTAGATTATATTTCCTTTTATGGGAAAGAGTTGAATGCATCTGAATTTTTTTTCTTATAGTGTTTTAAACTATTGGGTAATATAAGAGGTCACATTTTGCTTTTTATTAGAATTAAAAATGGTTTGACAGTGCCAGAAAGGCTTTCTAGATAAACGTTAGTTGTCCTATTTTAAAAGAGTGATGAGGGGGAAGATAATATGGATGAGAGAAATTCACTTGCTGCCTCATCAAACCTTTTCTTATAACTGCAAAACAAACCCACTTCACCCATTTAGACAATCGGCCCTGCCAGCTAATTACCTAAAAACTTCTACGGGGTGTCCTAGGCTGAGTTTTATTCAAACATTTTCAGTAACAAGGAACTCACTCTTTTAAAAAGCAGACTATTCTAATCATAGACAGTTCTAAGATTACAAAATAATTCAATCATTCATTCAACAAATATTTATTGTTCCTTCTTTTGAATCAACATCTACCGTTTTCTACTTCCTATACATTTAGTTTCAGTCCTGTCTTCTGAACTAATTATTCTTCCACATGACTATCCTTCAGTGGTTTATAGAAACACTGAAGCTCATGGGTGAAATGAACCTTAAAGCTCTTCCATTACTGGTTACATTCTTTGACAGTGATGGCCCAGCCTAAACTGAATACACCATGTGGTGGTGGTGGTGGTTCTGCTCTGTGCTCTCCCTTCAGTTTTCAGCCTGTTTAAAATACCTCTCACGTCCCATCTCATCTTCTCCTGCTCCAAGCCCATCTTCTTCATCCAGTCCTCATGTGAACAGTTTTTCCCCTCTTACCGTCCTGGTTCTGTATTCATGCTTCTATGTCCTCCTTAAAGGATAATGTATAGAAAGCAAACACATTTATCCAGGTGGGCCTGGATAAATGTGTTTGGGATAAAACCTACCTGTGTATGTGTCTGTTTATGTTAATACAGTCTGGAATTAGATGAGCTTGAAATAACATTGGCAGCCATATCATATATTAATGTATAAATTTACTGACTTAAATTCTAAAATTTTTTTTACTGTTACTATTAGCTCCTCAATTGTGTATTTATGTAACTTGTTTATTGGATTCACACACCGTTACTTTCTTTTATTCCATGTTAGTATACCACTCTCATCATTCCATCCTGTTGAGGTCCCCTCTGGATTCTGATTCTGCAATCCAACAAACATTACATTTCTTCCTCTTTCCCATTTCCTGGAGATTTGAGATATAGATGTAGAAACAGACATTCATGTAGAGACAAAAATCATTCCCACACCCAAAGTTTGAGAGGACTGTTTCATTAATACATATATTGAGGCTGGGTGTGGTGGCTCATGCCTGTAATCCCAGCACTTTGGGAGGCCAAAGCAGGTGGATCACCTGAGGTCAGGAGTTCGAGACCAGTCTGGCCAACATGGTGAAACCCCGTCTCTACTAAAAATACAAAAATTAGCTGGGTGCCGTGGCACGCACCTGTAATCCCAGCTACTCGGGAGGCTGAGGCAGGAGAATCACTTGAACCTGGGAGGTGGAGTTTGCAGTGAGCAAAGATTGCGCCATTGCACTCCAGTCTGGGAGGTAAGAGCAAAATTCTGTCTCAAAAACAAACAAACAAAAATAACATGTATTAAACGGATCAGTCCTGAGGTCCTGAACTGTGTGACTGGTTAAGTATTATTATCTGTGTAGATTGTTCAACCAGTTATAAATCCATTCTTGTCATTGATTTTCAGTTCAGATTTCTCAATATACAATCTAAGGATAATATAAGAAACCTCGGCATACCACTTGCTGAAATCCAGTTACATAAGTGCATCCACCTACTAATAACCCTTTTAAAAAACTAAATAAAATTAGTATTCTGTTATAAATTTTCACCAACAATCCTTTTAATAATATATTCTCATCTTAACTTAGGTCAATACAAATTTTAGCAATCTGTATATACTTCACAGAGCTACCTTTTTCTCTCTTCTATTTCTTCTTGCACTTTTCACAGTTCCCAAAAAAATGATACGAATGGTTGAATAATTTTTTTTTGGCAAATGCTCAGTATTTTGAAAGCTGTTTATTTGGCTAAAACACATTTATATTTGCAAAGTTTTCATTAGTAATCTCTTCACTTTTCTTGGCATTTAATACACCAGTATTTGTGGCAATGTTTAATTCAAACAACTATATTTTTTTTCTGTTTGACAGAGAATTAGAAGCTAAATAGGAACTGGTTGCTACTGCTTTCTTCTATCAACTATTCACATTTATTGTCAGTTGACTGAAAAAATAGATCTATTATTTTATTATGCTTCTGTGTCTGAATCTAACGGAATATACTCTTTTTGTTGCCCTTAGAAATTCCTCCCAGTCTTCATGGAGCCCAAGTGCTCCTGACACAGATCATAATGTTCCATGCTACTCTTCTGTGTTAATCCTTGGATTGACTTTCACTTCCTTTTTTATTTCCTTCCTTATTTGTAATCAAGATATTCATAAAGAAGGAAATCCTACAAAGAATAGGAGAGGGGAAGGGAAGTCCACTCTGCAATTTGTGAATTATTAGGCCCTTAGTAATTCACAAATTGGATAATTACGCCTTGTACAAAAGTTGACTCACATTTCCCTTGAAAAATCTTTTTTTTTCTTAGTCAAATTCGTTTTGTGCCACTTTTCCAACATTAACTTCCCCAACATTTCACAAGTCAAGAAACATGGACAATTGAACAATTAAAGTTTATGAAGCTTAATCTCAACTCTTTATAATGTTATGAAGCTTCATCCCAGAGCTATAAAATAGTAACTTCTTACTCTCTTTAATGTGTCTTACTTGCTAAAATCCCGTATCACCCAGGTAGAATGATTGACAGTCCCTTATGTGAAAATAAGCAATTCAATTTTAATAATGACATGACAGACATACACCTTGTAATTTTTTAACCACATATGTGAGTCATAAAACTTGTAGTTAATGAGGTGGTAGAACTGGTCACTTATCTCGGTATCCCAGATGCCACCTGGTTTTTAAAACATAAACTTTGTTGCTATGGGTACTGAAATCGAAGACCCATTTTAAAAAAAAAAAGATTTATAACATACATCTGTAGTTTGTAAATTGGGCTATTGCTTTTAGATATTTTAAGATATCAGAGAAAGTTTTTTCCTTGGTCTTGATTAGTTATGGTTTCAAACCCAGAGCATTGTCATTCCCTTTTTTTCTCTTTTATTTAACAGCAAATAATGCATATATATCATTTAAAATTTACTAAGTTGAAAGACCATGTTACACTTTGAATTAATTCATGTAACCATAAAAAGAGAAAATCTTTTTTTTCTATTATATATGGACAATTTTCTTTGATAAATGGAATATTAAGTACATTTAAATAAAGAAAGAATTGTTCCTATTCAAAATTGCACCTAAGGCATATTTTGAGCCCTCATTTTCAGTAACGAAGACAATCTAATCTTTACTCTTGACATTTTTGTCTGCCTTATTATTATCTAAATTTGGAAGCATAAAAGTACTTGAGATTTGGAAGTATAAAAGACTTTTGAGGTTAAATATGAATATTATCAGTGTAGTTATTTCGAGTAAATTATATGTGCGAATAAATATCACTTTTAAGAATTAAATATAATAAACATGATAGCATGTGATACACTATTTAATATAAAAAATGTACTGCATTTCGTTAAATAACAACATTATCAACCACAACTAGGAAATTAAAACCAAAAAGTAGAAAGTTTATTTTATGATTTTTCAATATTTATATCATTCTAAAGTTTAGATTTAATTTCACAGAAGTCAGGAAATTCGGTTTTGACATTCCCAGAGAAACCATAATTCTCATGTAGATTACAACAGCCTCTTTCATTAACAGCAAATCATGGGACTCCTCCCAAATGAATTAATCACTATGGGAAGTAGCTACGTCCTTTTCGAAAAGGAATTATACTTTCTTCTGTTCTTATTCCTGCTAGAGATAGTGTATAACAATCATATTTTGACATTTTTATGATTTAAGAATCAGTGTTCTGAATTACAATGTGTAATTGATACAGAACCAGTAACCCTTTCCTCAAATGCTAATGCAACAAAATAAAGTTCTATCAGTTGGGCTAAGTGTGCTATGAGGCAAAGTCCTACAGTTGTTTTGTTTGTATTTCACCACTCAAAAACACTAAATCAGAGATCTTTAACTGGTGATTTGTGAGAAAAATCCTACTATCAAATGTATTTTCATTTGGAATATAAAGTGTGTAAACTAAATTTGAATTGTTAACAAACATCAAAATCTGAAGCATTTATTTTTTCTTAAAAAAAGACTTTCATTTCTTGTTTCTCATGGAGCAGGTGAAGATGTAGCCACACTAGGTCTGCTTTCATCTGTGGCAAAAATCAAGGGATTAGTTATTGTTTCCTTTCAGCCCCAGCTTCACTCTTCTATTCAGCCAAGTCTCCCCACTTCCTTTTGTCTTAAACCTGCTTCTTTATTTATATTGTCTGCCAAGTTCTTATAGTCATTTCAGTTTACTCCATATGTACAAATGACATCAAATATAAAAATAATTACAGGATGTTCAAACGTCCTAAATTGCAATAAATATTTTAGCCTCTTTGGGAAACATGCAGAGTTCAGGGATGTCCTCAAGCAACAGACTCTATTTTACTTTTGTGTAATTGAACAAACCCTGAGAAAACTACAAAATTAGGATTTGAACTAAAGGAGGATGTTGGAGAATAGGACCAGATGAACTAGTACAGAAAGGTACCTATAAGAGTACCATTGCAAGTAATGTTACTCCCTGCTCTACTGTTCCAAGCAATCCATTACCTTTTTGTTGCTAAGGTCACTTTTGAAGAGTTCAGTTATCCCAGAGGGCTGTCAGGCATTTGCTGTGGGCTAAACCTTATTTAGGGTGGATGTTAAACTTCAGAGGTATACAAGGAAGTACAGGATGATTTTCCATCCATTATAGGCATCTACTTCTTCCATGAATAGGAAAGAGGCTACCATTAAGGGTGCATGCCCAAGGAATTTTAGAGTCAACTCAATCTAATATCAAACAAAGGATGTTTAGCAAATACTCATTAAACCAGAGTACTGAATAGAGTTCCCAGAGAATGGCAGGACACTTATGCTTTCTCTCCCAGCATGAAACATGCCAAAAAAAAAAAAAAAAAAAAAAAAAGTTGAGTTTTTCTCACAGGCTGCTGAAGAAATGCCTGTTTTCCCTTTAGTGTCAGGTGCTCTGTCAGCTACTGATCTTCTTTCCTGATCCATGCTATGCCTCCTCTCCCAGATGTAGACTGTTTCCTTTCAGAAAATGGATAGGATATATTCAAGTTGAGATGAGTCCTTGACCTGGCAACCTCAACTGAAGAGCACCCTGGGTTTTATAGAAATGTAGTTCCAAAATATTATTGTATTGCATGCTATTTTTATACTGCGCCATCTTAGAAGACTTTTTGACAATTAAAAACTGTAATTTGAGCTCCACAATTCAAAATTTGTATTTCAAAGGCATATTGCAGGAAATTCAGATGGGGCTGAATTCAAGCCCACTTTTACACCATTTTTGTTTCCACAGGGAGGTTTAAGCAGATTTTTATGCAGTGTTTGACAATCAAATTGACCTTCTAAACAGGACTTCTGGAGAATTTTTTTCATTTCATGAAAAGAAAAAATTTTCACAGTTTTTTTTTGTGTTTATTTGCAAAACAGATTCTAATTATAAATGTGCTTATTTATTCATTAAAGCAATTAATTAAAAGATGTATACCAGATAATTGATCATACTAGTTCTCATTAATATGTAACACTGAAATCATAAAAGTAGATTTATTTTTAATTACTACAAACTGGTATAAATTATAATATATAATGCAGATTGCCATATATTGAGACAGGGCATTTTTTAGACTTCTCTATAATTAATACATTTTATTGTTCAAACCCACATTCATTTCCTTAAATTCAAAACTTACCACTCTTTCTATAATCTTTAGTTCTGCTAAAGAGCTCTTTGTCATTAATTTTGAACTAGGCTCACAATCCCTTCTTAAAACTCTTATTAGTCAAGTGTGTTTCAGAACTTACGGTTTTTAGGAATTAGAAAGTTAATTTAGTTCATGCTATGCATATTGTCTGACACCCTTAGGGGCCTGAGACACCCTGTAATCAAACCATCAAATTCTACAGTGAAACATATGCATATTCACACTTAGAAGGATTATTAATGACCATAAATAGCCTTACATCTGTTCAAGTAAGTTTTTGCCATCACATAAGTTTCCTGCAAAGAGGAAAAACTTTAAAACTTAAGAAAAAATATTTTGGCTGGGCGCGGTGGCTTACGCCTGTAATCCCAACGCTTTAGGAGGCCAAGGTGTGTAGATCACCTGAGATCAGGAGTTTGAGACCCACCTGGCCAACATGATGAAATCCCATCTCTACTAAAAATACAAAAATTTGCCGGGCGTGGTGGTGGGCACCTGTAGTCTCAGCTATTCGGGAGGCTGAGGCAGGAGAATCACTTGAACCTGGGAGGCGGAGGTTGCAGTGAGCCGAGATAGCACCACTGCACTCCAGCCTCCATGACAGAGCAAGACACTGTCTAAAAAAAAAAAAAAGAAAAAAAAAGTTTCTAAAAATGAAAAAATGTTTATCTTCAGAGACTTTGGATTTTGGAACTGCAGTTGAAGGATCATGAACCATATCTTGGCTTTTAATCTGTTCTTTACTTTTGTCAGAATTGTCTTCCTCATACTCACATGGCATGGCACCTTCGTTGTATAAAAACCTTCATGGCTTTCCACTACTTCCCTCTTGAAGCTTCTTTTAAGACCTCCCACATCTGTGCCCTATCAATTTTTCCAGGCATTTCTCTAAAATGTGTGTGCTTCACCACAGCCAAACTCACCTTACCAGAATTTCCTGAGTGTTCCTTCTCCTTTGTTCACTGTGCTACAGACTGGAATACCTTCTTTCAGAAACCTCCAGTCCACACTTCACTGCAATGCCAGGGTCCTAATCATCTTCACGTGTCTCAATTTCTACCTTTATGGGAGTCTTACTCCAGTCCTCAGACAGAATAAGCTTAAGTACTGCCTGCTCCTCTAACCAGAGCACTAATTTAACACATTTTCCATGTGGATTGACATTCATATGACAATTCCCTGTCACCCATTAGATTTGAAACCCTGCAGCTTCTTTCGCTGTACTTGGCGTATAGCATGTATTCCAGAGACATTTGTCACACGAAGGAATGCATGTTTTAGTTCATCTCTCTTGTTCTCATCACTCTGACCTCCCACAGGAATCCTTATAACCCTTTGCCATTGCCCTTATCCTGACCTTGCCCAAGTTGAAGAACAGAGTCTACGTCTCAAGGGAGAGTTCCTAAAATAGAACCTAATCTCTGTATACCAAGTGTTGATTCAGTATGTCTTTAGAAAAGGAAAATATATTTTCTGGGTTTTTCCAGCATTCATCTAGGCGGAAGTATCAGGAAGGAAAGGTATTGTTGCCCTTTGAGAGTGGCTAGCCAGAAGGGTCTCCTAGTGTGTCATGACTGCACCTATGGGGCATGGGAATCTTTCTGCTACTTCTGTGTAGTGCTTCAGGCAGGGGAGTCCTTTGCAAGGCTGCCCACACATGTCTATCTGGCACGTCACATGGCCATTTCTCTGTGGTGTTGCTTTCCTGGAAGTGCTGCTGGGAAGCAGAGCTTAGGTCCCTCTTTGCTCTCAGAGACTACAGATCTCTTTCCTCACTTCTAGTTTGGTGGAGTGTCTTTCTAGGTATTTTTCATTGCTAGAAATGTTGGTAGACAAGTTATGTCTTGCACTCTGCCTCCTCATGCCTCCTCTGAGGCCCTAAGCAAAGGGTCGTCTAAGAGCTTGATGCAGGAGTGGGGAGGAAATGAAAAAATACAAGAGGAAAAGAGCGTGGATAAATGTTAGCAAAAGAGATCCCAGCCACATTTGAAGTTGCTTGTTTCATGTCTGCCTGCCTTCATACATTCTAAGCTCCGTAAAGCCTGGTATAAAGTCTATCTTGTTTACCGCTCTAATCCCAATGTCCAAATATTGCCTTGGTCATTGTGTGATTGTGTCAAATTCTTATTGAATAAATGAATAAGTGGAAATGAAATTCATAGACTATGAAAAATTTATGGAAGATATGGGGCTGGGCGCTGTGGCTCATGCCTGTAATCCCAGCACTTTGGGAGGCCGAGGTGGGAGGATGATGAGGTCAAGAGAACGAGACCATCCTGGTCAACGTGGTGAAACCCTGTCTTTACTAAAAATGCAAAAAAAAATTAGCAGGCGTGGTGGCACACGCCTTTAGTTCCAGCTACTTGAGGGGCTGAGGCAGGAGAATCACTTGAACCCAGGAGGTAGAGGTTGCAGTGAGCCGAGATCGTGCCACTGCACTCCAGTCTGGGTGACAGAGTGAGACTCAGTCTCAAAAAAAAAAAAAAGAAAAATTTATGGAAAATATGCTGGTTAAGATGGTTGACACTGGAGCAGGTTGTCAGGGGGTGACTCTTGGCTCTGCCACTTACAATTGGGTGGGCAAGACCCCTCACCTCTTCGTGTCTCAAATTCCTCATCTGTCAAGTAGTTGGTGTGAGGATTAAAAGAGTTAATATTTATAAAACTTTTAGAAGAATACCTCACTCAAAGAGCATATCATGTAAGCCTTTACCACTATTAATGCCATCATCACCATTGTCATTATTTATTATTTTAACTATTATTAAGAAACCCTAAGACAGTACTGTTCTCTTGATGTTTATTTATAGAGAATAGCTCTGATCCAGTTCTAGCAGAGTGTATATAAATAAAATCAATACAGTTTTATTTTTCTACATCATCCCAGACTGCAAGGCTGTTTTATTTTTCTTCCCTATATTCTGTGTCTATACTTCTCTAGTGCACTCAGACCAGGAAAATGCTTCTTCAGGAATTCTACCTCTTTTCATGGGGTCTCATCTTCTGTTGGCTTTTCTTAGGTGTATGTCATTAGGGAACACTTTACAACAAGGCCTGGAATCCCCTAATAGATCATATACAACAAGTAGAGCCTTTGGCCCTATATGAATAGTTTAGGCACTTTTCTTATACTTTGCATTTGCCAGTGTTGAAGTGTATCTGCCGTCTTCTTATTCATAGATCTTTTGCAGGCTGTCTTCACTTACTTAGCATTTTAGTAGCTACAGTATTTAATGATATTTGTTCATACAGAGATTGCATTGTTTTCTTTCTCTTCCAAATAACTTATAAAGTTACACTTATCATCGACATATAAAAAGACAATTCCTGGAGTGACTAGGGTTAATATTTATGATAAAACATAGTAGAATGGAATTCAGAGTATCTATAAAAAAGAAAAATAGTCACTTTTCGAGCCACTTGAAAATATATTCAAATAACTTGTAAAATTTACACTTATCATTTATAGACAAAAAAAGATAATTCCTGGGGTGACTAGGGTTAACATTTATGAGAAAACGTAGTAGAATGGAATTTAGAGTATCAATAAAAAAGAAAAATAGTAACTTTTTGAGCCAGTTGAAAATATTATATTCAACTACAGAAGGCTAATTCTTCCCATAATTAATAATACCATGAGGCAATCTTTTATCATCAGTTATAACTTCTGATTTCCACAGGCCCCAATTCTCATATTACATGATTGTTCAAAAATTCCTTTAGCTGTTTAGCTTTATATAGTTGATTTTTCTATTCAGACAGATAAATTATACCATCTACTGCAATATGGAATGATCTAGCTGCAAATTTCTTTCTCTTAAATTCTTTTCTTTCTTAATTTAGCCTTCTAGCAGTTTCTGCTAAACTGAAGCAATTCTTTTACCTAAATATTTTTGTACCTTATTGTAGTATTTCCCCATCTGGTCTCTCTTAGCTAGAAATTATTTTTATCAACTTTGAGGAGTATTTATCTCTATTTGTGCTGCACACATGCCCACTGTGATGGTCGTGTTGTAATGCATGATGTATTTTGGGCAAACAGAATCATGATAGTATTTACATTAAAGAGAGACTTGGAGATTTCATTTCTCAGCATAATGCATATTTTTTCTTTCAATATGACTTGCTATTGGGGCCCCTTGACTCTTCATAATTAAAATAATTATCTTTTCCTCCATAGCCCAACAACCTCAGGTACACTCCCTTGTGCTGATCAATGATCAGCCATTGTCAGTGACACTGGCCATTGTTAACCTGTTCTTCTTATGAGTTATTTATGTGCATTTAGGCAGCATTATTGATGATGCAATAAACAGCAAAGTAGAGTATATGCATCTATCATTTTGAGTCATTTGCCTGACTAGAATTTTTGTGAGGAGAATTACCATTCCTCCTGCTTCTATAGCCACTCCTTTTCATCTTCTTTGTAGTTGCCTCTTCCCCTGCTCATCCCTTAAACCTAAGTCTTTTGAAGGGTCTGCCTTCTCTACAGCCTCCCTAGGTGACTTCAGATATCTCTATGGCTCATAATTCTCACCTTTCTTTCTTTCTTTTCTTTCTTTTTCTTTTTCTTTTTTTTTTGAGACGGAGTTTCATTTTTGTTGCCCAAGCTGGAGTGCAACAGCACTATTTCGGCTCACTGCAACCTCCGCCTCCCAGGTTCAAATGATTCTCCTGCCTCAGCCTCCCAAGTAGCTGAGATTACAGGCACCCGCCACCATGCCCAGCTAATTTTCATATTTTTAGTAGGGACGGGGTTTCACCATGTTGGCCAGGCTGGTCTCGAACTCCTGACCTTGTGATCTGCCCGCCTCAGCCTCCCAAAGTGCTGGGATTATAGGCATGAGCCACCGCGCCCAGCCATTTCTCACCTTCTATTTTATATGCGTGTCCAACTGCTGTCCCTTGGCTGTCCACAGACATCTCAAATTCAGTGAATCTATAGCTGAATTCATGATTCATAACTACCTGCCTACCCCAGAAAGCCTCTTCCTTGTGTTCCCTCTACTATCCTTCCATTGTCCAAGCTACAGACCTAGGACCATTCTCTGCTCCTCATTTACCCTTATATTATCAGCCAAGTTACAAGTCCTACAAATTTCAACTTCCTTAATAACAATTGAAACAATTGATTTGTCCCTCCTCTAGTTCTAAGACACAATCTCACAACTAGACTATTGTAATACCTTCCTAAATGGTCTATCTTCAGTTTTACTCTTCCTGTACCAACCTCCAGCCCCTCATTCACCTGGCTTGGGAGGTCTTCCATGGCTCCTGAAACATGTGTCTAGTGCACATTTTATTTTCTTTGTAGCCCCCCCGCCAACTTCTCCACCATAATACTTATCACTCTGTATGATAACTGCCAGCTTATTTCTATTTCTCCACTAGATGGTAAACCCTGTGAGCTTGGGATCTTGCTCACCATTCAATCCCCAGAGCATGGCATAGTAAATGTTGCACAGAAGGTGCTCAACAAATGCTTTTTAAATATTGTTGAATGTTAGTCAGTTTTAAAGCTTTCTAATATTTAAACTGTAAAGCAGGTAGAAGAAAATTATAAACACATAAATTGCGTAATGACAAAGTTTAGAATCAGAAGACCTGAATTGAATTTCTGGCTCTATCATTGCCTTACTGAATACTTTTGAGAAAGCACAAAATCTTCTCACTATTTGTAATCTTATAACACTCATTATTACTGCGTAACAATAAAAATGACAATAACACCTTGAATGTATGGCCTCTAAGTAGTTGGAAGCATTTCTTATGAATTATTTATTTGTTCAATATCCCTTTGGGGTAGGCTTGCATTGTTTCTTCTAGATGGTAATGAAGGGGGAGATATAGCCTTTCCTGTAATGATGTCAAAATATTCATTGTGAGATGGTTGCCTACTTCACAGAATGTCATGAAGATTCATGAAGCTGTCTGAGGCTTTATGCTCTCAGGAGGGAAAAAAATAAGTTTTATATATATGGTAGTTTCACAGCTCTTATACATCCGATTTCTTAAGAATTCAAAGTATTTGGGTGTGAAAATATGTACAAATTATTTCAGGCCAGGTGCAGTGGCTCACACCTATAATCCCAGCACTTTGGGAGGCTGAGGTGGGCGGATCACTTGAGGTCAGGAGTTCGAGACCAGCCTGGGCAACATGGTGAAACCCCATTTCTACTAAAAATACAAAAAATAGCTGGGCATGGTGGTGCATGCCTGTAGTCCCAGCCTACTGGGGAGGCTGAGGCAGGAGAATTGCTTGAACCCGGAAGGCAGAGGTTGCAGTGAGCCGAGATCGCGCCACTACACTCCAGCCTGGGTGAAGAGCCAGACTCCATCTCAAAAAACAACAACAATAACAAAAATTATTTCAATATTCAGCTTATTCCTGGATGTTTTCTCCATATTTTTCTGGAGGCACATTTGTTTTTCCACACCCACTCAAACCATCTGTGTACCAGGCAAATTTTCTAAGATGCAAAACCAAGTAAAATATGTCCATTCTATTTGTTTAGAAAGGATTATGACTAATGATACTGTGGGAAAAAATGGTATGGTTAATAAAAATTATATCCTCTGTATGAGCAGCTAGAGAAGCCTAGCAGGTATGGCCACACAAAGCCATAAGGTGTCAACACCTGTACTGAAGATAGGTGTCAACACCTGTACTTTACAAACCAACCCTCCAAAGAACTCGTGCAAGAAGCAGAGTCAGTGTCTACCTAGGATCTGGAGGCAGCCCCTGTGAAATGGGATTTTTTTTACCACCATCAAATGGTGAAAATTTTTAAAACATATTCAATTTTGAATGCTAAAACCCTATAATATATATCGATGTTTGCTTTACATAATAATGTTTAAATTTATTTGCCATTAATTAAATATACTTTTTAGGAAGATGTACCATATTTATTATTGCTTTGAAACACTCTGTAGGATGCTGGCATATACTCTGAGGGTTACTTTTACCCCAGTTTGAAAAGCACAGGGTCCTAGCACATTGCAGCCCAAATCATGGGATTTTTGTTAGAATATAAGAAACTCTGTCCACATGTCCCCTTTTTACTTTGCTACACGTAAACTCCTGAAAAATTCCTTGCCTAGCATGCTAATGATATCTTTAAAATGTAGCACTAAACACCTAATTGGTAGCATTTTCACAGTCAAGATGATTGAGGAATATAAATCAGCTTCCTCAAATAGAGATTATTCTGTTTGAGGAAAAAGGTCTTTCTGAGGTGAGAATTACCTATCCAATTCTCTCTTTAGATCTCATTAAAATTAGAACCCAAACTAAGGAGTTATAAAACTTAAGGCTTTTTTTTTTGTGAGCATTTTGAAAATACGATCAAATAGAAAGCTGGTCATGCTCAGAGATGAGTACAAGAAGTGACTTATTTACACATTCAAATTTCAAAATATTTTTAAGTCCTACCATGTGTGCTGCTAAAAGGTTTTTAATTTAAAATTATTTTGTTAGATAATCCTGTTTCAAGTGACATTATGATTTATCGCCACTAATCAAGATTCTGATCCCTCATAGACTTCTTGTTTGTATCTGTTTTTGTTCTTTGTTACATAAATATGAGGTTTATATATAAAATTCTGACTGTGTAATATAGGGCTAATGAGTCACAGATGGAAAGATGCTGGCACATTACCATCTAATAACATTTTAAACTCATATTCCATAGTAAAACAAAAGCAAATTGTATACATCTGTTTTCAAACTTGTAGCATTTCTGAATTTATGCAGAATCTATATTTAAAGGACTTGTATTTAGAGAGAAGAAAAAGAGGACATAGGTCACCTCAAAACTACGCAGCCACTTAATAGCCTTATCAGAACGGATTTGGCAAAAGAGATAAGATTTTCTCTGTTTTGCTTCCTGAGAAGTTGTAGTACCGAAGACTGAGAGTCAAAGGCATTAGAGCTGAAGAAATGTCTTCAGACTACAAACTAATTTTACTGCCTTTCTTAAAATGAAAAACATATCTCTAATATGAGGAATGTGGGGGTGAAATATTCATGAAACTAATAAAATTAAAAATGTAGAAAATGTAGAAATTTCCTGGGCTTTCCTAAAAATATCCACAAGATAAATTTGGGTGGGAAGAGGGAGAGCCTAGGCCATGTATTGCTGTGGTTGTTGTTTATTTTATTTATATGGTAAACATGTTCTGTGTTTTTTTTTTTTTGAAAAAAAGGAATAAAAGGCTTTAGTTTCACATGTTGTTAGAAAAGAAATAGAACAAAGCCAAAATTTCTCTCTCAGACTTACCCAATTGATAACGCCTGGGAGGAGGAGTTAGTACAAGTTATTGAAGAACGAGTGTCTAAAACATCTCTCCCTGTTCTCCTTGGATAAGGAATTCAAAACCGCTTTTCTGCATTAAGGGGTTGTGTGAACTGTCAAGTTCTTTTGGAAAAGTTATGTGACAGAAGTGATTACTGCAGAGTGTGACCATAAATCCCCCTGACATGAAATACACATGTTGTAAGAGACAGATTTTCATCCACCACCTCTGCATGAATTCCTGAAACAGGAGAGATCTGAGATTCATCATATGATTGGAGAGAGAAATTTTGATATGTGGGTGGCAAGACTATATTTTGTGAGGTGTGCTGTGTTTATTCTGGGGAATAAGTATGATCTGATGGCAAAATTTTGTTCCCTGTTGTTGTCCAAAAAAGAATTAATACACGTATTGTATGTCCTGAGTTGTAAACAGAATGTCAATTGAGGGAAATTACAGTGTGGTTTTCGTAACAGTGTCTATAGTTATCTCCATTTTGTACTAACATTTTGTAATTAAGATGTTGTAATTTTGTAAGTAAGATTCCAGAAATGCTTCGTGTAGCAAACTCTTTACACCGTGTAGACACAGATCCCATTGTACCTGCCCCAGGCTCAGTGACAATGAGCTCTCAGTTTCCCTATTCCATGCTTTAAGAAATTATTGGTTTGACTGGGCATGGTGGTTCACGCCTGTAATCCCAGCACTTTGGGAGGCCGAGGCAGTCAGATCCCTTGAGGTCAGGAGTTTGAGACCAGCCTGGCCAACATAGTGAAACCCAGTCTCTACTACAAATACAAAAATTAGCTGGGCGTGGTGGTGCACACCTGTAATCCCAGCTACTGGGCAGGCTGAGACAGAGAATCACTTGAACCCTGGAGGCAGAGGCTTCAGTGAGCTGAGATTGTAACCACTGCACTGCGGCCTGGGTGACAGAGCAAGACTCCATCTCAAAAAAAAAAAAAAAAAAAAAAAAGTCCAGATGTGGTGGCTCATGCCTGTAATCCCAGTACTTTGGGAGGCTAAGGCCGGTGGATCACCTGAGGTCAGGAGTTTGAGATCAGCCTGGCCAACATGGTGAAACTGAAAACCCATCTCTACTAAAAATACAAAACTTAGCTGGGCGTGGTGGCACATGGCTGTAATCCCAGCTACTAGGGAGGCTGAGGCAGGAGAATTGCCTGAACCTGGGAGGTGGAGGTTGCAGTGAGCCTAGATCAGGCCACTGCACTCCAGCCTGAGCAACAGAGTGAGACTTCATCTTAAAAAGAAAAAAAAAAAAGGTTTATTTTGGGGCCTTATGTGTCTAATTTTGTTTATGGTATGTCAGATGAGGCAAGACTTCTAAGTCCCAGGAAAGGGAGGTGCTAGGTATGTGCTTGTTTTGTTTGTCCCCTAGTGAAATGTCTGTGTGACGTTTTATGTCGTGTTGTTTTGGTGCTGTGCTATGTCCATAGGGCCTGCCAGGCTTCCCCACAGTTGCTGCCCTGCACAGTAATCAGATCCTCACCGTCAAGGTTTGTGGTTGTCACTCATGCCTGCACAGTCAGAAATGCAATCAGCATAAGCGTGAGCAGGAACCATTCAATTGGCTTGCCGAGCCCGTTGGCTTCCTCTCATGGTATATATCAAGTTACTGGGCACTTGGGACCCCACTTGCATCATTGAGGTCAAATATCTATTAAGAGGGTGTATCCTGAGCATACTTGAGAGGATATTGACATCAAACAGGTACTGTGAACAGAGGTGGGCATAGCAATCTAGAACCATGCCACGCCTTGATGGCTTAATTTACAAGCATTCTAATGCTCTGTAATATTTTTCCAGTCAATTAAATAATCCTAAGTACTCTCTCTGGACTTCAGGCGTCAATAAAATGGCAGTTGAGTTCACGCCACATTATGCTGGTTGACAAGTCTGACGGAAATGGAACTGGCATTTTGTCTCTAGACTTTCTGCTCAGACTGAAGAATGCAGGGGTGCACTTGCTTACCTGTTTCTGGGAATAAACTACATTAAAAAGGTCCAACATCCACAGTGAAATGATGAGGCACAAAAAATATTCATTACTACTGAAGTTCTGGTCTCAGCATCCCATTTCAGGATTATATTTCTTTCAAGAAGAGCCAGTGGGTCTAATGTTAGACATAAGTGCCAGTTCTATTTTGTTTAATAATCATTATAAGTCTAATGTGGATATCTTTATTTCTTTCTTGGGGCCTTCTGATGTCTATTCTTCAACTCTCTCATCTCTGAACTTCAACCTTTGACCTCAACTGACTGATCAGATGGTGTTTCCTAAAATCAATCATGGGTTTCTCTCTGCTGATCAGCAGCTCATTAAACGCCGCCTGATTAAGGTAGTGCTTATTCTTGCTGAAGTCTGATTTCTTCTTTACATCAGTTATTGCTCTGTGTACCTATTGCTTTACGATTTATCTCTTATGGGTGGGGTGTGGGTGGTATGTGGGCATTTATTTGGAAATATCCTCAAACAAAATTAAGTTTAGTGAGCTGCATTTGTTTGAAATGTTAGATAAATTACCAAAAAAGATATTAAAAGCCTATCTAATTTTTTCTTAATTAAAAAATTATAAATTGTAACTACTAACAGATCCAGTTTCTAAGCTCTCTAGATTTGGTAATTTATAAATTATTAGGCAATATGATGGGAGCCTCATATGCTTAATTTAAAGTAAACACATTTGTCTAACTATAAATGCAGCCATTTTATTAAATGAGGTGAATGTAACTGATGCAGTGTTGTTATGGATAAAGTAATGCACACGTTTTATACCAGCTCTGACTATAGTGGTAACATACACACTATTTCCAAGAACTGGAAGTGCTGGTTCCTGAACTGCTTTGATTTTAATAGCATCTACTCAGTCACCCAGCATGAATATTTATTTGCTCCCTGCTGGGAAGCAAATTGCCTACAGGCTTTATATTTGTGGTTGTTCTGGTTCTTTTCATAGTGTAAATGTGAATTAGATAATACAAATTTAAGGTGCTGAAAAGAAGACCTGGGTCTTTATCTTTCATGGTTATTGCTGGTCTGTTCCCTTCTCCATCACAGGGTGACCAAGGACAGGCAGGGCCTCCAGGACCCCCTGGCCCTCCAGGCCCAAGAGGGCCACCTGGGGACACAGGGAAAGATGGCCCCCGTGGAATGCCAGGAGTACCCGTGAGTCGCTTTTTGGATCACTTATTCTCACACGTTTTGCTTCATGTTAAGGGCTGAGAACTAGGGTGGAGTAGGGTGGTGAGGGGCATCAGGTCAGGGGGTCAAGTGAGTGGAGTGGGTTGAGGGAAGTGGGATGATGAGTGGAGTAGGTTGAGGGAAGTGAGATGATGGGAAAGTCCCCAAGCAGCACAGGGCACTCCCAGCTGCATTCCTCTTTACCACTGAATACACTGGGAATCCAAGCAAACCACAAGAGACACCTGGAGGCAGCCACTAAACTGTTTTTGAGGTAAGCCTCAAGAAGTCTTTGATTGGAGTTGCCCATTCCCAGGTGTATCCTCACTGCCGTAGTGTGCACCGGGGCCTTTGGTTTAAATGGGAGATTAGTCTGAAAAACTAAGTAGGAGTCTAATAACATTTTCCAAAGTTTCAATAGCAGACCAATAAAGTCCTATACTATTTATGGAAAGTAGAGGAAGTAAAATATTCTAATATTTAATCCCTTATAAATAACGTGAACCCCCAAAATTGCTAATAACCGTAAAATGAATGGCTAAAACATCAGTGGGTATGGTTTAAATATCATTTGTCTTTTGTATGTAAGGCTTATTCATAGAAATAATTTAAAAGTAATCTCAATACTTGGCTACTAAGATTGGTCAAGTGTCAATGATATAGTAGTAAAAGGCAGAAGATAAATGGTTTGATTTCATAGAGGCAACCCAGCAATTAAAAGAAATATATGGAAAAGGTCAAAAATTTTAGATTTATTTTATGACTTTAGGACTAGAAATTAAGGTTTATTACTGGATTAAATTATTTATTCAATGTATTTATTTAACAAATTATTTTCATAGTATTTTTGTAGTACATAATAATAATGAAAATATTTATCCACGAAGCAGAAACTTTTGAAAATAAAACCAAAAAGAAAAAAATATTTTTTTCTTTTACCATACTCATTAATGTTTACAATATTTACAATACTCATTAATGTTTTGGTATATTTTCTTTCATTTTTATATGCATATATTTATGCATTTTTAAAAGAATGACTCTTTATGAGAATATAGCGTACTTTAAAACTTCTGAGACAGCCTCATAAGCCCATATCCCTTTCTGAAAGCTGCTGTGAATTTGCTGATATAAAATGAGGAATTGTCTTTCAACATATGATTTGCTAGTTGTTAGGACTGCTTTCACTCAACCTTCAAAGACAGTGGTTGAATTCTGTAACTGTCTTCTAATGCCTTGCTTTTTCTCATGATGATATTCCAAAAGGTAGAGAGATCCACAGCTTTAGGGATATTTAAAGCTCTCCCATTGATTGCTGGTTGCCAACAGAAATACAGTGAGTGTCTCTTCAAAAAGTAGTTAAAACCATTTTGATGGTACATTAGTCAGATCATTGAGCATTATATGCTATACTATACTGAAATTCAAGATAGAAATTACTTTTTAAAAACAAAATTAAAGGTAAAGTATGACAAACCACACAATCCAAAATTATATCATTCTTTAAATGAATATAGTTTATTTATGTAAGTAAGAAATGGAGCTTTCTACACATAGGACAAATTAACTTGTTTTAAAATTTTCAGAAATATAACTTGAACTGTATATGGTCTCAGAGTTTATTTATATATACTATGATGACTGCTAGAAAAAGATTTTTTTTTTTTGAGACGGAGTCTCGCTCTGTCACCCAGGCTGGAGAGCAGTGGTGTGATCTCCGCTCACTGCAACCTCTGCCTCCCGGGTTCACACCATTCTCCTGTCTCAGCCTTCTGAGTAGCTGGGACTACAGGTGCCCACCACCATGCCTGGCTAATTTTTTTGTATTTTTAGTAGAGACAGGGTTTCACCATGTTAGCCAAGATGGTCTCGATCTCCTGACCTCGTGATCTGCCCACCTCGGCCTCCCAAAGTGGAAAAAGATTTTTTTGTGTGCAATGAGGTCTTTGCTGTGTTGCCCAAGCTGTAGTGCAGTGGCTATTCACAGACGCCGTCATAGCACATCATAGCCTTAAAGACCTGGGCTCACACAGTCCTCCTGCCTCAGCCTCCCAAATAGCTGAGATTACAGGCATGTGTCATCATACCTTGCTAGAAGAAGACTATAAAAATAAACTGTGAAATACTTATTTTGAAAGACCAGCAATATCTATATTTATTGGCAATTTAAGACAAAAATATTTTTAGCCAATGACTGTCATTATAATGACAATAAAATATAATTCTATATCAATCTGAATATAAGAAAATGATAATGTCATGATATAGTGTAATTTTCTCTATCAAATTTAATGAAACATGTTACTTCAGCCGTCATTAATCCAGGAAGACCAAAATTTAACATCAGTCTCTGCTCATTTTATTAAACACCTGCACTAAGAGCAATTGTCTCTCTGTCCTATGTATGAAAGTTCTGAGTTCTCATAAAGACACCATGTCATTATCTTTATGTCATCCTAAAGAAGACATGATAATCTAGACTAATTTTATTAAACCCTAAATTTGTAAAGTTTATTTGTAGAAGGGAAATTAGCTCTCTTTTAATGTGCTACATTCCTCTATTTAACCTGAAGAAATATATTTGACATTTACATGCCCCAGTCAAAGAAGAAAAAATGATTGAAGGGTTTTTTTTTAAATACTTACAGCGTTACTAAAATTATCACTATTCTTTTTTAAGGGTGAACCAGGAAAGCCAGGAGAACAAGGCTTGATGGCAAGTATCTCAGTTTATCTTTTTCTATACTAAGCCTGGTTGTTTACAACTATGGTCAAGATTATGTGTGATGAATGTATCTGTCATATGACAGACTATAATAAAAAAGTGAAAATTAGTAAAAGTTAAAAGTAATATGGCCTACTACATGCTAATGGTCATAAGACTACATATCTACATTGCTGTTGCAGGAGAAAAAGAAAGAGATTCCAGGTGTGGGGAGCGACAGAGATGCTGCAGGTCAAAGGAGAGAATTAATTAAGTGACTCTGCTGTAAGAGAGATTAAATTTAGGGGCATGCCTATTAGCTTAAATAGAAATAGAAATCCCATTTTCAAAGGGATCAGGTCTGACTAAATGAATTAGCACAGCAAACTTTGCACAGTGATTCAGAATTTTTCTACTGTTGAATATCTCTACCCGGAGAAAAATCGTTGTGCCTTTTGGTTCTCTGTCATTTAAAAAAAAAAAATGGTCCTGAAATGATTCCACATGGACTTACTCATAGACACACAGGTCCCAGTTCCCCATGAATTGTTTATCTTTTGCTGGTAGAAAAAATGTTTGGTTAGGTTGGTGGCTCGGGAAGAGTAGAATTCCTTCAACCTACCTCTTCCTGTCCCCTCCTGTCTGTCTCCTGAGCTGCCTTTCTAATCTATGTTATGATGTGAACACTATTGGGAAGCACGGGGTAATTCTCTAATAACCCAAATGCCAGAGGACGGCTCACACTCATCCTGGATACTGAAGGAATGGGCCCAGAGATTGCCAGGGAGCTGGCAGGTGACCACAATCAGCTTGACACTTTCCATCCTGCATAATGTTTGGCATGCAGCATGCAGATGTTCAAGGTATAAAAGGTAGGCTGGGCACGGGGGTTCATACCTGTAATCTTAGCACTTTGGGAAGCCAGCGAGGGGAGGATCACTTGAGCCCAGGAGTTTGAGACCAGCCTGGGTAACACGGTGAGACCCTGTCTCTAAATATATATATATATATATATATATTTAAGAAACAGGTAGGTCCTAGTGAAACTAATGCATAGAGTCAGGAATCAACAAGGCTTCTTTGGGCTTGGATTGTATTCAGCAGCTCTCCTGGGGAGTCAGCTGTAGGTACAGCTGCCTTTGCAGGATCCCTGGTGAAATGAAAGCATTCTGGGTCCAGATCTCACTCACTGCCTGGAAATTCTCTGTTCCTGACCTGTAATATCAAGATACAATTTTTTTGTTTGTTTGTTTGAGACAGAGTCTTGCTCTGTCACCCAGGCTGGAGTGCAGTGGCGCGATCTCGGCTCACTGCAACCACCACCTCCTGGGTTCAAGCGATTCTCCTGCCTCAGTTTCCTGAGCAGCTGGCACTACAGGTGTGTGCCACCAGGCCCAGCTAATTTTTGTATTTTTAGTAGAGACGGGGTTTCACCATGTTGGCCAGGATGGTCTTGATCTCCTGACCTTGTGATCCACCTGCCTCGGCCTCCCAAAGTGCTGGGATTACAGGCGTGAGCCACCGTGCCCAATACAGATAATTTTTGGTGCTATAATGGTTTTTGTTTAAAAAAGAAAAAAGTGGAAGGAACGGAAAAAAGTCCATATGTAAAACTTAAACAAAACCTTTGTCATCAGTGGTAAATGCATACAAGTGCAGCATTAGCTCTCAGTGGTATGGAGTTATAGAGTATGAAGAATTCTGGGAGAACTGCAATAAAATTTTGAAATTAATTTAAGCAATTGAAGGTACATGTAATTTTTGTCTTGGAAAATGGTGAAAACACATTCTTCCCCGTATATTCTTATATCGAAAGCTATGTGGGCTTCTCAGGAGCCTTTGTTTGTCCCCAGGTGTGCACAGACTACTCAGATTTTTATCACTGGCATTGGCTTTTTTCCCTGATACCCAACACAGCATCCTAATATACAATGTTCTAAAATAAAATGGATATATTTTTTAAAAATTCTTATCTTCTACTCAAGGAATTCTCTCTTACATATTACATATGCTCTCTAGGATATACTATGTGAATAACAATATAATCTCATTTGCTTACTATTCCCAGTTTGACATAGTTAAATACAAATGTTTGACCTGATCCTAAATCACTTGCATTATTATCTTAGTGTGCTCCAATTCTCATTTCATATCAAAACTTTCTCAGGTGAAACAATACTGGTTTTTTTTTTCTACAAACTTTTCTTGACTCTTTAAACTCTTAGGATTTAGTTCGTGTTATTTTTTAAATGCATTTAAGAAACAATGAAAATGACAAATGTTTCAAGGATATATATATTAAGTGATCTAAATGGCATTTAAAAATTACTGTTTTTAAAGATGTACGATTCTTTTCAAAGAGAAAACCTCTTTAATGTATATAAAGAAAAGTGACAAATTATAGTGCATAACCCAGTGAATTTTCACCAAGTGAACAAAACTATGTACAAACCAGATCAAGAACAAGGACATTATCTTAAACCCTTCTTTACCCCCAGTTGCCATCCCAGAGGTAGCCTCCACCCTGACTTCTGTCACTATACTTTAGTTTTGCCTACATTTGAATTTTATAGTAATCGAATCCTACAGTATGTACACTTTTGTGTCTGGCTTCTTTCATTCAACATTATATTTGTGAGATCATCTACCTCTTTTAATGGCTTTCACAGCTTGTTTAAAAAAATAGGAGGAAGAACCATATTTCCTTGACTACCCCGTTAAAACTACATCATTCTGATAGCAGTAAATGAATGAATGTCCGTCTGACCTTGGGCAAGTCACTTAACCTCTCAATTTCTCATCTGTGAAGGAGGGATAATAATACCCTCTCTGACTGCCTTAAAAGGTTGCCAAAGACAAAGCAATAAATTAGGGGAAAGCACTTTAAAACATATAATGAAGAGCTATATGAGTATGTTATTATTATTATCACTCAATTGTTCTCTCTAAAGTAAATTACAGGTGAGTGTAGATTTATATAACAGATGTATTCCTGTAAAGTTTTGTATAAATCAGATTTTCTTAAATCAACATATTTTGAATGTGCCAGGGAATTTTGCTGTTTAAAGAAATCCTATTCAGAATCTTTCTGTAAATCAGTGTAATCCCCTAATTCTTCTCCTCAGCAAACTGAATTTCTATATTTTATGTTTGCTTAACATGAAGTATTTCTCCAATCTAAAAATCTATCTTTTTAAAAAGAAATCATGATTTGTTAACTTGAATAGCACCTGTATATTTTAACTCATATCAAAGAGAGAAGAGGATACTAGAAATATAACTGCAATTTTCATGAGGAGGAAATTTTTCTTTTTTTCTCTTTTATTATTATTTTTACTATACTTTAAATTCTAGGGTACATGTGCACAATGTGCAGATTTGATACATAGGTATACATGTGCCATGTTGTTTTGCTGCACCCATCAACTCATCATTTACATTAGGTATTTTTCCTAATGCTATCCCTCCCCCAGCCCCCCATCCCCCCAACAGGCCCCGGTGTATGATGTTCCCCGCCCTGTGTCCAAGTGATCTCATTGTTCAATTCCCACCTATGAGTGAGAACATGCAGTGTCTGGTTTTCTGTCCTTGTGATAGTTTGCTGAGAATGATGGTTTCCAGCTTCATCCATGTCCCTGCAAAGGACATGAACTCATCCTTTTTTATGGCTGCATAGTATTCCATGGTGTATATGTGCCACATTTTCTTAATCCAGTCTATCATTGATGGATATTTGGGTTGGCTCCAAGTCTTTGCTATTGTGAATAGTACCGCAATAAATATACGTGTGTATGTGTCTTTATAGTAGCATGATTTATAATCCTTTGGGTATATACCCAGTAATGGGATTACTGGGTCAAATGGTAATTCTAGTTCTAGATCCTTGAGGAATCGTGAGGAGGAAATTTTTCTTAGAAACTTAGAAATTTTCTTTCACACATTGTGTGTGTGTGTGTGTGTGTGTGTGTCTGTGAACTTGAAATCTGGTAGGGAGAAAAGTAGTTCCGGTTTTAGAACTACTTAGTGGTGTATGACTATAGTCTGTGATCCTTTTTACTGATCTATAAAATGTAGGTAATAATTCCTGTTCTACCTGTCTCACTGGGTTATGGTGAGAAGCAAGTGAAATGATAATATGAAATGTTTTATGAACCACAAAGGGTTCCATAATTGAGAAGTACTACTATTAAAACAAATGTCTAGTGATATAACTTGGCATACAGAAAGGCTGCTCTAAGAAATGTAAGGGCTAAGAATAGTTGAATAATAGCTACCAATTAAATTACAACATGTCAAATAGTGCAATTAAGAGTGTAATTTATTGCTTTTGTCCTATTTGTAGTTGTTGTTGTTTTAGCTTTCTTCTCCTAAATATCATATCATCTTACATTATTAATTTTTCATAACATTCTCCTTCTCGCCCACTTATTAAGACAAACAAAAGATAATAAATACCACTATTCTCATCTTTTTCACATTATGTAAACCCCACTACATTTGTTGGTTTGTGTCATGGAGGAGTGCTTGCTTACATAAGGGCCTTAAGAGGCACTAGAGAGTTGTTATAAATTTAAAATGTCTCTGATGATGAAATGAAGAAGCTAGAAACAATCTAAAATTAGCTCTTGCAAAACTGCATGAGTGTCTCAGGTAGGGAATTAGTTTTCATAATCTAAGATATATAGTTTATATTGCAGAAGTAATCATCTGACGATTAACAGCATCTATGATAGAATAAAAAAGAAAACCTGCAGCTCACGCAGTTCCACATTGATTTAATCCTGCCATGCATCTATTCTGTAAACATGACCTTTGGGTTTCCAAGAAGTTCAGGATGAGCTTTTAAAACCCAGATTTTGCACTTAAATAAATTTGACTCCATCTAAATAAGGAGAGAGCTGCTGTATCTTATAAAACTAGACCCAAGAATGAAACAAAGGAATGACCATAATTGGAAGTGATCAAGTTCTGAATCCTAGCACAAATTATCTTTATCTTTCAGTTCTTCAGAGATTCAAATCGTTGTTAAAACAGTATTTTAAAAGGTATCTTTCCTTTCGATGTTCTTGCTGTTTCTTTCTTTGACAGATGCAGAAATTTTCAAAAGCATGAAAGATAGACGGTATTGAAAAAAATATACCAAATTGCTCCAGTTTCATGTATATTATTTTTTGTTCCAAATTGTCTATATCCAAGGTTTCAAAAACCAAATCACTTTCCTGTTCTGAAACTCTTTATTCCTTTCTTCTCCTCCCCTAAATATATATAAACTCCATAACGTATTCATTTATCTTCTACTGAATTATAAGAATACTTAAAGTGTTCCTCATTGGGCCGTAGTGGTATCTGAGAGTTCAAAACTCAGAAATATTTGCTGTTGTGGTGCCTTAAAGTGAAATTTGGACTTTTGTCCAAACAGTTTACAGATACTTTTAGTTTATTTTAATTTTACCTGCAAACACATTTAATACATTTGGGTGAAGTGAATATAATGTTTTTAAAATATTAGTTAATAACGTAAGCATGAAAATGTTTCTGTTGCATTTAAAATAAAATTGAAATACCCAGTATGTGAAGGTTTACTTTAAATATGTTCAATTTATAATGCATTGCTATCCCATGGATTTCATAAAACTCATGGCTTTCCTTCACTGTGCTTTGATCTGCCTGCTATCTTGATCAGCAGATGGCAGACACTGAAGACAACAGCAGACTTCCTGATTTGGATCTGGCAGAGGAAGCAAGACCCCCAAACCTTCAAATCACAAATAACAAAAATGACTGAAATCATCTTATTGTAGTTAGTTATTAGACTAGATTTTGCAACAAAATCTTGTTTGGTAAAACTGCATGTCCTTCAGTTGTGCACACTGCCTGCTGAGATGCCTTAGCAACCATTCTAATGCTTTATCAGCCTCCCTTAATCTGATTGTCCATGAAGTACATATAAATGGCACACCTGCAGGGCTCTTCCCACCTCCTTGGTACTTTTGCCCAGAGCCTGTAGTGCTGTTTTTCAAAGGGACCAGAAAAAGTAGACAAGTGATGCCTTCTATTTCTGGTGCTGCCCCACCACCCCTTCCAGGGAGTCCTGCCATAGAATCAACACAGTGGAGCTGTGTCTCCCCAGGCTGGGGGGACCTGCTCTGTGTTGATTCCTACGTGCACAGACTTCTCCAGAGGTGTCTAAAGGTCACCTAGTGAGGTGATAGGAAGGAACATTTGACTTTCCTTTGAAGCTGGTTCTGTCTCCTAGAAACAAAATGTCATCTTGGGGAGCATTTTCAACAGTGATCTAGAAGCATGATTATGTAGCAGAAAGACAGTCTCAACAGCTGAGTAGATGACTCTGTCTGTATTCCTCTCTCATTACTTAATTTTGTTTTCCTTATTGACCTCTAGGCTGTGAATCAGCTCTATTATTAACTATTTTTACAGTGGCTCCAGCTCAAGGTCTAATAAGCTCTATCATTTGGACAAATTAAGGTATCTAGGCCTTAGATTCCTCATCTGTAAAGAATGGTGAAACTAAACGGCATGATTTCCCTTCCAACTCTAAAGTCCCGTCATCCTACTCTGTTTCTATTATGAATGCACAGATGCATATTATATGTATCTGTTATATATGTTCTGTAAATAATTAAAAGCAATGAACAGTCATATGCTAAGTTTTGAATAGAAGAAAGTCTTAAAAATTGTCTCCTTCTCCAAAACCATAATCAACTTATCTAGTTGTCACTTCTTGTAACTGTAGAATCCAGCTTATTCTAGCTCTACTGAAGCAAAATAAGTGACTCTTGTATGAGAATATTAACCAAGTTATAATTGATCTGTCTTATCAAATTCTCATATTTCATCATTAGATAAAGAAGAAATTTTTAAAAACAGAGTTAAATCTGTTTGTGCTTTACATTTGCAGACTTAGGGCAAATGTACAAGTTTTAGGGCAAGAGGAAAAATGGGAGTCCTTATACAAAGTGTCTAAATATTTAAGTTATAAACCAACCTAATAAAACTGTTCAGTAAAATATGTTCTATCCCCCAACCTTTACAGATATATTCTCATGATGACTTGGAAAGTTCAAATCCAGAATTCTTGCACTCCTTGGAGTTCAAAGCCACAGTGTGGTGGCACGAGGAGAGCTGTAACTAGCCCTAGCCCTGTCCTTGGCCTGCTTCCCTTCTCTCCCACACCTTCCTCCATTCTTCAACTTTATAAGACTCAGCCTCTAACTTTATAAAGGTTCTTGAATGCTCACAGGACCAAATTTCATCTATCCCCCTCAAAATACCCACCTCTTTGCCTTCTCTTCCAATTTGTTGTGGTGCACACCAGTGGTATGGTTTACCTTCAGAAGAACAGGCCTGGGAAGAGGCAACACATAGTCTTTGTAGTGAGCTCAAGTCATTGGGGCAGAGAATTCTGGAGTCCTTAGTACCTGAAGGTCAGGTGGCTGGGTGGGGTGGTAGGGCTGAGGGTGGAGGGTATGTATAGAGATGAGCATGTTCTCTTAGACCCACAGATTCCTAACCCCCTGGGAAGCACAACCAGAAAAAAGCCTTTTAAAGCATGGGCACAAGACAAAAGCCTCCTTGCCAGATCTAAGGGAAGTTCAGGATCCATGTGTCTGAGTGGAACCTTAAAAAAGATATAGACTTCTGCTTGGTCACCTCCTTTGAGGAAACCTCACACATGCATACACTTTCACACTCCCCCAAGCTAAGTTAGAAGCTGTCTTCTCCCCTTCTCCACAGCATTTGTCACATCATATAATAGTTATTGGTACTTAGTGTGTTTAATAATAAGAGTGACTGAGTGATATGAGTTAATCAATTAATAAATCAGGCTCTAATAAAAAGAAATTAGCTTTATGTTTTTCTCCCAATTGATGTCATGTCATTATGCCCCAAGGGTAGGATTGGGTAGGATAAATTCAACAGAATTACACAAAATTGCTCTTATTTTTCTTCTTTTGTTTTGTTTTGTTGTTTTAGAGACAGGGTCTTGCTCTGTCACCTGGCCTGCAGTGCAGTGGCATGATCACAGCTCACCTCAGCCTCAAACTCCTGGGTTCAAGGAATCCTCCTGCCTCAGCCTCCCAAGTTGCTAGGACTAAGGCATGCACCACCATACCCAGATGTTTTAATTTTTATGTTTTATGGAGATGGAGGCTTGCTGTATTGCCCAGGCTTCAAGCAATCCTCTTGCATGGGCCTCCCAAAGTGCTGGGATTACAGGTGTGAGCCACCACGCCCAGCCTGCATCTTTTTATATTTATATATGTCTTATAGATTATTTGGAGTATATGTGTGCTTATAAATATGCACGTTATAACTAAAAGGATGATTTTCATGAGGACAATGGAAAAGTAATTGCATCAATTTCTAGTCACACCAGCCGGGCGCGGTGGCTCATGCCTGCAATCCCAGCACTTTGGGAGACCGAGGTGGGTGAATTACCTGAGGTCAGGAGTTTGAGACCAGCCTGGCCAACATGGTGAAACCCTGTCTCTACTAAAAATAGAAAAAATTAGCAGGCATGGTGGGAGGTGCCTGTAGTCCCAGCTACTCTGGAGGCTGAGGCAGGAGAATCACTTGAACCTGGGAGGCAGAGGTTGCAGTGAGCCAAAGTCGCACCATTGCACTCCAGCCTGGGTGACAGAGCGAGACTTGGTCTCAAAACAAAACAAAACAAAACAAAAAAGAAACAACCAATTTCTAGTCACACCATATGGCTGTTTATTAAGTAGGATATAAAAGGTTTAGAAGAAATCTTAGAAATCATTTAGCTTAGCATTTCACAGAACAGCATCAGAGTGAAAAGGAAACAGCCAAGGTTACAAAATAGTTAACGGCAGAACCAGGCTAGAATCCAGTTCACCTGATTTCAGTCTTGGGTGTTCTATTGTCTAGATCTGCACTGTTCAATGCAGTCACCATTAGCTACATATGGCTCTTTAAATTTAAGGTTGGCCAGGCTCTGTGGCTCATGCCTATAATTCTAGCACTTTGGGAGGCCGAAGTGGGTGGATCACTTGAGCTCAGGAGTTTGAGACCAGCCTGGACAACATGGTGAAAACCCATTTCTACAAAACAAACAAACAAAAACAAAAATTAGTCTTGGTGGCTCATGCGTGTAGTCCCAGCTACTTATGGGGCTGAGACAGGAGGATCGCTTGAGGCTGGAAGGTGGAGGCAGAGGTTGTAGGAAGTCGAGATCATGCCACTGCACTCCAGCCTGGGTGATAAAGTGAGTCCCTGTAGAAATAAATAAATAAATACATAAATAAATACATAAATAAATACATAAATAAATAAAATTAAAAATTCAGTGTCTAAATATTGTACTGGCCACATTTCAGGTGCTCAGTAGCCATATGTGATTGGTGGCTATCCTACTGGATTGACCAATATAGAATGTTTCTGTCATTAAAGAAAGTTCTGTTATTAATAGACAGTGCAGATCCATCTAGGTAGAAAACAGATCTGAATAGGATATGACTATATATTATAATCTTAAATTTAAGAACTTTTTCTGTGAATCATGAGTTATTTAAATTCTAGCAGCCAGTGTTTCTCAGCATTGTTGATTTAAAATAGGAAAAGCACTTACACTGCTCAATGGAAATATTTTTTACTGAGTGTAGTGTAGGGTGATAGGCCTTTGTGAACCATAAATTTGTTTCCTTTATAGTACTCGAGGGAAGTATGTTTAATCACAGAGGGCAAAGAAGCCTGTTAATTTTTCTTTCTTTTCGGATCATTTCCATTTTGGGTTTAGCAATACGAAGCAATTTATTAAATATTTAGAAGGGCTGGAGTGAGCTAATTTTAGTGTGGATATCTGGCAAGAGGTAATATAGAGTCTCTGTTTTGGAATCTGATCAAAAATAGATTTTTATATACCTAGATTTATCTTTAATCTATGGTATATAATGCTCAATATTTAGTCTTGGGTTCTGGTTTTGTCAAGTGGTGAGAAAAATGTATTACTTCTTTAATTTCCTGAGCTTTAAGAGACCTCCCTTAAAGAGGTCATAGCCTCATGATTTTGAGAAACACCAATAAATGAATCATCCTGGCTTAATATTTTCCTCAAAAATTCAGCACATGAGATAGAGAAGTCAAAAAGAATTTACTCTTTTAAAAAATAATTACTGCATGTAGAACTTTTTTTCATCAAATGCTCATGAATAAATATAATGACATGCCATCTTCGTAACAGGCTCTGGGTTGTAGAGGAACTTTTTCAAATAATAGAAATTATGGGGTGATATTACGGAAACAAAAATCTCAGATACTTAAACAGAACAACTGCCTCAAACTGGGAACTCTTTCCAGTGATAGAGGTATGGTAATATGAGTGTTGAAATAATGGTGGAAAGCCGCTAAACATAATTTAATAATTTTTAAATTCATTCATTCATTTTTTCCATTTAGTCAATAATTATTTATGTGTTAGGCACTAATCTAGGTGCTGACGATGTGAAATATATGGCCTGAGGAAGTGGATTTTTAGTCAAGTGGATTTTTAAAATAGGTAAATATGTTAAAATATAGCCAGTTGAAATGTGCTAAAGAAACACAAAGGAAAAAAACAAGCTTTGTCTGGGTGTGCTGGAGAAGGCTCACAAAGGAAGTGAGTTATGACCACTGGGCCTTGAAGAATGATTAAGAACTTCACATGAAGACTGATCGGAGAAGGATATGGACTTCTTGGGAAAATATAAATGATGAAGTGTGACTGAAGACAGGATCCATGAAAGACTTGAAACGAGAGATGAGGCTCTCCCTTCTCAGCACTGTCTTGCTCTGCTCTTGTTTATACTGTGTTCCTTCATACCCACTTCAACTAAATCACTGGCTTTTACATTGAAAACATTGCAGTGCACTCTCTTATATTCTAAACATTTCCCAACAGTTTCTAGTTGGCATTTCCACACACTTAAGCTATGAAATCCAAATCTTGTAAAACATCAATTGAATTACACTCCAGACGTACATATAATAGTGGCTAGAGTTTATGTTTCTTAACCTTCCCACATCAAACATCCAAGCAGAACATGGCATTTTATATACATGCATCTTAAATGATTCCTTCTTAAGTAAGATAAATTTCCTCTTACTCTTTATAAACCAAGTTTATGTATTTTGTGATCTTGTGATGCATTTCACCAGGTTAATATCTTTCAAAAAATTGTAATTAAAGTCTGTTGTACCAAACCCTTGAGAAAGTCTGGTACTAATGTTTTATGACTCCATAAGTTAGAGTATACGTGTTATCATTCTTCCCTTTGGAACTAGACTTTTAAAAGTATTTTCTTCATTTTGCCTAACTTTTATTAAATCGTGGAAAAATTCTTAAAAAGGAAATAATTTTAAATGGCTTAATAGTTTTGGGCTTTTATCCTCCCCTTCACAGATGGACCACCTCTTTTTTGTTCCCTGTGTTTTTTATTACAGAAGCTAGTTGTATATTCTTGTGTCCAGAAATGACCAGCAGCTCTCAGAGCTTCAAATTTTACTGTTAGTCATCAGGGACAGAACAGGAACTGTGTCCGCCCCCTACATCATTTCCTAATAGCAGGCAACCAGAACTTGCCTTAAAACATGTCCCAAGAGGCATCCTAAAGCACATCATTTAGGAACTCAGCATCCTGTTTAAGTAATTAATACCTCAATCAAATTTGTGCTAACATCAGTAGTGTCAGAAAAATTCATTAATTTTTTTCCATCTCATGATGTGTCTTTCTGTGTTATTTTTTTGTTCACAAACTGGAAAGTACAGCCAACACATAATGGTCACAGAGTCATTCTTTTCTTAACAGCCTACTTTGAAGATTTACTTGGGTTGATAATTCTATCTACTGTTTGCGTAATTGTTTTCTGAAGTGCATTAGGGACCTTAGGCCTACATACACATACACAACACTCTCATTGTTAATGATACCATGTAATTTGGATGATTTTGGCTTTGCTGTATTCATATGGAAGTCATGACCTGAATTCCTCCACTCACGCTTGCAATTAGAGCTAATCTGGAGGCTATTAGAATAGGCCAGCAATGTTAGAATGAGTCAGGTGAACAAAAGGGTGAAAAATCCTGCCATTTCTGTGTTGAGACACTATTGTCTAAAGTTTAAAAAATAAAAAAACCTGATTTGCTTTAAGTATCCATTTATTCATTTCTGTAAATTTTATCCTACTCAAAGTAAACATCATTGTGCTTACAAGCACCTACAAGGCCATACACATACAATTGTTCTTCCCTGTTTGTATCCCCATCTCCTACTTACTCACTGATAGCCTACTTGGTGTTCTTTGAACACACTTAGCATGTGCCCAACTCTTGGTGTTTGCATTTGCTCTTCCCTTGCCTGGAATATTCTTCCCCCTTCTATATGCATGGCTCTTTTCCTGACCTCTTTATCACTGAGAGCTTCACTAAATGACCGCCCCGCCCCCACCACACACACAATTTAAACTATTCCATCTACTTCTCACAATCCATATCCCCCTCTTTGCTTTAGCAGTTACCACCTGACACAATTTTATATTTTATTTGTTTACTGTCTTACTACATTCACTAGTATATGAAGTCCAGGGGTATGCATTTTTATCTTATTTTGTTTTGAGTGCTCACTGAGTGGTCATTTTGTTTTGTCTTATTTTGTAGACAAAAGAGAATTCAGTGGGCTCTTAAAAACTATTATGTGAGTGAATAAATGAATTAACCTCAAAACGATTCACTGAGCAATCACTATGTGCCAGCTACTGTGCATGATAAAGGTAATTTAGAGGGAATAAAGAAGTAACCAGACAATTATGATTATTGTTGGAAAATTCTATGAAAACATCATAGGGGTGCTTTGGAGAACAAAAGAAGGGCACCTAACCCCAAAGGTGAGGGTACTGAGCTCTGATATTTGGAATGGATGCAGGAGAGGACCGGGGATTAGAAAGCCCCTTATAGGAACAGACAGAGGTGTAGAAATGTGGAAGCCTGGCTTATGCAGAAAACTGCAACTACTGTCAAAGCTCAGACTCTTCTAAAAGGCTACGAAAAGCCATTGAAAGATATTTAAGTATGGGAAAGGTATGAACCCATTAGGGGAAGCTCACGCAGGCAGCAGTGTGCAGAAAGGATTGGAGGAGACCAAAAGTAGGGTCGTCATTAGGTGAACGTTACGTTAGCTAAGGGAGCAAGAAATGGGTTTAACAGGAATGTAGCAATGTGACTGGAGAAGAAGGCTGGACCATAGAGATATTCTTAAGTATCTGATGGACTGAAGTAGGAGGAGTTAAACTTTACTCTGAGGCCCGAGTAACATGCTTTTGGTAAAGACAGTCACCAACATGGGGTCTATGATGTTTCTTTAACTTACTTTCTCACCATATGCTGAATATTGTACATAAATCTTTACATATGGAATCTAGCGGGGAGAGGAAAAATTGGAAAGAATATCAAGTATACTATATAATTTCTTACTGTGTTCACCAGTTTTTATCTGAACTTTATTTTGCATAACTTTCCATGATGTTTTCTGAAAGAGTATTAAAACTGGTATAAAGGTTTATATGCAGATTAGTGATGTTACTCCATGCTTAGAATTTTTCAGTGACTCTTTGAGTTTTTATCTTTTTGATAAAGTTATATTCATGATGCAGAATTCTTCAATTAAAAGTTTTTACAATTTATATCACCCAGAACCTGTATTTAAATTAGTGTATTTTAAGGTTCTAATTATAGTTGATGTTTCTGGAGTTTAAAGAAATATAGCTCAATATGTTGAGATTCTGTATGTTACAGTTTTTAATCTTGAGATATATGCAAAGAAATTATGTTGAAAAAATAAAACTAGATTATTTTCATCTTAACTGGTTATATACAAAGTATATGCAAATATAAATAAGGAAGGACCATTTCATTGATTAACAGAGATGAACCGAAAAGATGATGACTCTAGGTTGGAAATCTACTTGATACAAACTTACTAAATTATGAGGATAACAATAATGGAATTGTTTTGGAAATCTTGAATCACTAGAACAATTGACTTTAATTTTGGGAATAATCAGCATTCGTTTAACTAGTGAATAATGAATTTATGGCATTATTCATCCAAGTTGTTGTGCAGGATGAAAATCTAAACAAGTGTAAGGAAGATTAGATAGGCTAGGAGTAGTAGCTAACACTTGTAATCCCAGCACTTTGGGATGCCAAGGTGAGAGGATCGTTTGAGGCCAGGAGTTTGAGACCAGCCTGGGCAATATAGCAAAACCTTGTCTCTACAAAACATTAAAAACTTAGCCAGGCATGGTGACATGTGCTTGTAGTCCCAGCTACTTGGGAGGCTGAGGCAGGAGGATTGCTTGAGCCCAGGAGTTTGAGGCTGCAGTGAGCTATGATCACGCCACTGCACTCCAGCCTGGGCAACAGAGTGAGACCCTGTCTCAAAAGAGAAACCAAAAATAAAGATTTGATAAATTAATGAATGTTTCTATGGTATTTACCCATTACTTTATAAACTTACATTTGTACCAGAAACCGCAAGACTAATCAAATGTAATCATCTTAACCAACTGGTAGCAACATACCCTAATTTTAAAATCAATTTTTGAGTAGGGAAACTTTGATTTGTAAGCTTAACTTTAATTACCACAGTGTTATAGATACATAATGGTATTATTAATCTAAGGATACTCAAAACAAATGCATATAAGTAAAATCTTGCTCAGTAAAAATAACTGGTATTTCTGGATGTGTGCATGCATGCGCACACGTGTGTGTGTGTGTCTGTCTGCCTGTACTTAAGTGTCCTATATTTTATTCTGCCTTAATCCCAGGTATCCCTCCCCGAGTAATGGATGATACTCTTGTTAGATCCCTACCATTTTTCCTGCCAGAGAGATCAAAGAAGTATATGCACATTTCTGGTAACTGAATATATTCTTGGCAGCATAGTTATGAAAATTCTATAAGACATGTATTCCCAATTCAAAATTAATGTTAAATCTTAAAAACTGCTTTTATTTTTAGAGGTTACCAGACGTAGCAGTAGTTTCCTAACAGTAAAGGAAAATATTGTCTTTGTAGCCATCCTTAGATTTTCATTAAATATTGTGTTAAAATATACAACTTATTTAATTTTATGAATTTCAGAGTTGTGATTAGTCATTCTAAATCTCTGATTTTGTGTGATTATGCAACAGACCAAATTAGAAAATATCAGATATGTTATTCGCTAATTAAAATATTTAATGTAGAATTCACTCTTATTTTTGTTTGAAATATTCCCTTCCGGGGTTATATATCCGTGTGATGAAATAGACAATTTTAGTGAGCAACATTTTTTTCAAGTGGCACTTAGGTTTACAGTGGGAAACAAGCCTTTATGAATTGAACATACACATTCTCGGTCTAAATACTGAATCAATGTACCCCTTGTTCTATGATTTCCTTTCTAACATCAACATTTTAAGAACTAAAGTACTCTAGAGACACTGGAGAAAATGGAATCATAGACAATGATAAAACCCAAGTCCTTTCTTCATTCTCAGATCTCCTATCACCACAGCCTCCAAATTCTGCCCTTACTTAGCACGAACATTTACTTTCCAAACAATTTACCCAAGTGAGGAAATGATTAAATATGTTTATATGCTAAGGGGAAGAACTAGTGAAGAAGTGGAGCCTCTGATACAGATCTAGGGGTAACTGATTGCAAAAGATCCCTGAGGACAGAGACAAGGATGGATTCCAGAGTATACCAGATGAATTTGCCTTGTATAGGAGGAGGGGCTCTTCTTCCTCTGATACAGGAAAGAGGTACACATACGTTTGGTTTGATGAGAGACAAGATGTTGAGGGAATTTACACCTGATAGTCTCTATTTTCTCTGCAAAATCTAAAACAGGGAGAATTTTAAATAAAGGGAGTGAGATAAGTAGGGAGAATGTCTGACCACACAGATAAACCAAATAACAAGCTCATTAAACAGTTGGTTGAGTAAATTAAATAGAAATATATAAAGGCAGTATTGCACAGTGTACTTTCAATAACCTAAAGCTGATTATATGAGGAAACTGTTAGTCTTCCTGTGAGGATTGCAAAATAACATGGTGAACAGATTCTCTGAATGTTCCTAAACATTATATATTTTTAATAAAAAGGATGCATGAGCAGGTCTTCTTCTGACAACCACTCTAGTGTTTTATTTAGTGTTACAGAGTGAGAATGCAACATGCTGATTAACTGAAATGTCACAAACTGAAAATAGGCTGGTCATTAGTTAAATGTCATGGAATAAAGAACTTTTAACATGAAATGATGAGTGTCTATAACTTTGCTAAAACGTACTAAAAATATTTTTGAAAGAACTGGAAGAAAATGCTTAATAGTTGTATTTAAAAATAGAAATATAGCTATATCTCTTTG